>NW_003315915.1:0-188093 GCF_000001405.40 Homo sapiens
GAATTCCACTGCTGTAATTGTAAGTAAAAGTTCACTATTGTTGTCTATGTCCTCAAAATAAAAAAGAAAAATAAAAAGCGTGCTCTGAATATTTAATATATTTTTGTAACTCTGCACAGTCTTTGCTAAACTGGGGTTCACAAATATTGATGGATCTTTTATAAATGTATGTTAAATCCTTTACCTCTGCATTTGAAAAATAATAATTTATAAGAAAGAT
The DNA here is from genome assembly GCF_000001405.40 of Homo sapiens. Classification (NCBI taxonomy): domain Eukaryota; kingdom Metazoa; phylum Chordata; class Mammalia; order Primates; family Hominidae; genus Homo; species Homo sapiens. The sequence goes on from NW_003315915.1 coordinate 221, forward strand.
ACTTTATCATACTATCCTTTTTGTTTCTTTTATAAAATTATTATTTTTCAAATCTCAAGGTCTGGTATAATAGAACATACTGATGAAGACTATATTCCACTTTTATCTTTCCAAGTTAAAGTTTCCTTTTCAGTTCTTATCTAAAACTCTGAACATGACTGCATGTTTCTTATATGTATTGATTTCTTTCCTTGTTTTTCTTATATTTTAAAATTATTTGTTCTTTTCATTCCTTGATGCTATGACTCTTCTATACTCTTTTAAAACTTTTCTGCAAATGCATTATGTCTCTAAGTCATATAATGAGACAAATTTAACTTCCAGCTCTGTCACTGAATTAATAAGAGGATACAAGCAAAAGAATGCCGAGATTTCTTGCCGTAGAATTAGAAAGAGAACTATTCTTTTCTGCAACATTTTGGACCCCCTGATGTTCAGAGAGTAAGAATTTAAGAAGACAATAAAGGAGTTAATTGCAATAGTCAAGATGGGAAGTGATTAAAACATTTAATGGAACCATTTCATGATTGTATTCATTGTCACAGCACTGTTAAGTCTTATAAGCATCGTTTGTAAGACATGCATGAAAAATAAAAATGCCTGGTTCAATATTTTATTTTAATTGCTTCCAACTTTAGTTTTCTAAAATATAACCACATGATGATTTGTAATGTATAGCATACATACTTTGTCTTGTCTTCAAAATTGTCTCTCCTGTGACTACTCATTCTGTTTGTACCTCACACCAACCAAGTTATAAGTTCATGGTAAACCAGAAAATAAATAAATGAATTATATCAAAACATTTCATGTGTAAGGGAAAGGAAAGAAAGGAACATTTAATCAAAGAGTTGAATAAAATGAAGGGAAAAGTTATGCAAGTAAACTAGGGAAAGAACTATAAGACCCTATGTTACTTCTGCTCAGAAAAACTTCAGGTAAAACATATTTTTAAAGTCCTATTAAGATGGTATTGAGTTTTTAATATTGACCTCTCTTAATATTATTCTGATGTGCACATGATGTTTTCTGTGTCAGAGACAGAATTCTTATTACTTTGAGTATATAAGTGTGCCAGCTCCCCCTTGTTCAAGTACTTATCTTTATTGTGACACAGTGAAAGCTAATGGGAATTTTTCCTATATGAGTATCCAGACACTGCAGAGGTAAGGGATAAGGAAAAACGATTTTTCCCTGCTTTTAAAGAAAAATGCATCTTTCTCCCTCTGCTCCTCAAATGGTCTCCAGGAGCCAGACAGCCCGATGTGTCTTTCCTTTTCTGACCTGAAGATGCTTTTGAGTTCTGGAGTTTCATTTCCTTTCACAATTAAATTCCTAGAGAAATAATGCCCCAGTCTCCCAGGCACCTTGGTGCTTAACTGAGGGACTAAGCCCAGAATGTAACCATTTGACTTTCTGGGGAAGATAAGTTTGATAACCTGTTTGGAGCAGAGCAATTAATTAGAAAAATGGCCAGCATATAATTCCAATGATAGAGGAAATGTTAATAAGAGAATTGAAAGCAAGCACTCTCTAACTTTAGAGCATATATGTTTCTGTGGATTAGAAAGGTGGAGCTTTTTACAGGAAGACTGAGAAAAAAAAAAGTTTTTTTCTCCAGATGGTCAATTCAATTCAATGCAAAAACTATGGTCAAATTTCTGCAACAGCCACTATGACCAGTTTTCGGGGGCATAAAACAAAGTGTTTGCCTTCAAGGTGTCTATAATTTCATAGCATCCTTGAAGAAAAAAAAACTCTCCAATATAAGACTGAACATACATACTTTAACAAAAATAAGTTTATAGAACTGCATTTTGAAATTTAATAGGAGGAAGATATAGCATCAATCTGTAATAAACAGAAAATATTTGAAAAAAGTGATATTTGACATGGATCTTAAATATTTCATAAAATTCAGGAAGGCAAATTTTCTAAAAGGGGTACATTCTAGATACAGCACTCTACATAGATAAATAAATTTTGTAAGAAATCATAGTATAATACAATTTATATTATCTTGTTTTGACCCTTACTGGTCCAATTAACCTCCTATTTTTTATTCAATTTACTTAATCACAGTATATATTGTATGGACACACAGTATGATATAAAATAAAATAGAATAAGTAAATAGAGTGATGTATTACATAGGATGATTCAAGATCTTCTTTGTTAGGGTAACATTGACTATTTGATGAAAACCCTAAATAAAATCAGTGAGAAAGCTATCTGAGTAACAAAGCAGAGGGTAACCGTGTACATAGACACACTAGAGACTTCACATATATTAGTGCAGGGTCAAAGAGGGATCGCTTCTGCTCTGCCCACTGAAAATGAACTGACAATGAGCAGATTAATAGGAGGAAAAGATAAATTTATTAATGTGCACTTGGACATGGGAGTCCTGCAAATATGAGACTCAAAGAAGTGTCAGATGACTGAAATTTTTATACCCTACAGAAAGGAACACAGGCTTGAAGCATGGCAACAGGTTGTGGGAGGGAGAGAGAACGAAAGACAAGGTGAGCAGAGAATGTCTTATTATGCATATGAAAATCTCCCAGGTAATCTCTGAGCTTCCCTAAGAGAGAAGAAATGGTAGCCTGTCATCAAAGTTTCTGTCAGACCTTTAAAAGTGTCTGACTTGTAGTGATTTTTTTGTTTGCTTTTGGTTTTTTTTTTGCCTGTGAGTTAATCCTTCCTAGATAGAGAAAAGGAAGATAAGGGTGTCCTCAGAGAAAGCCTATTTGTATCCACTGTTTATTTCCCTAATGTAGATTTCCTCTGCAGATGCCAATCCCTGCAAAAGACAGCTTTACAGGGCTATTCCTGTGTTTGCAGCAACTCTGAATAGCCATCTTGAAATATACCAAAGAAGTATATTTTGGGTTGGCATATTTTGGTTTCCTTCACAAGCGAAAAAAGCCAGCTTTTGAACAAACATGATATGCACTCTGATGAATCTATACTGAAATAGATAGAGATAGTCTGTTTTTTCAACAGCTTTATTAAGATATAATTCACATATACTACAATTTACCCATTTAAAATGTATAATTCAATTTTTTTTGTATTTCACAAAGTTGTACATTATCATCACAATCAAATATAGGACATTTTATTATCCCCAAAACAAATCCTGTGCCACTTAGTCATCAGTCGCCATCCTTCTCTGCCCTAGGCAACGACTAATCTATGATCTGTCTTCATAGAACTGCCTATTCTGAATACATTGTGTAAGTGGAATTATACAAGAAGTTGCCCTTCTCAACTGACTTCCTTCACTTAGGACAACGCTTTTAAGGTTAATTCATGTTGTAGTATATATTGGTACTTCAATTATCTTTCTTGATGAATAATATTTTGTTGTATGGATGTACTACATTTTATTTATTCATTAATCAGTAGAGGGGCATTTGGACTATTTTAACCTATTGGTTATTACATATAATGCTGCTTTAAACATTGATTTATAAGTTTCTGTGTGAAAATATGTTTTCACTATGCAGCTATATATCTTGGAGTGGAATGACGGATCACATGGTAACTCTAGGTTTAATTTTTTGAGAAACTGCTGGACTATTTTTTAATATAAAGCCTGCACCACTCTACATTCCCACAAGCAGTCCATGAGGGTTCCAATTCCTCCATATCCTCAATCACATGTGGAATAAATTGTCGTTTTAATTATAGCCATCCTATTGGGTATGGAGTGGTTTCTTGTTGCTTTGAATTGTATCTGCCTCTTGGACAGTGATATTAACCATCTTTCATGTGCTTATTGACAATTTACATATTATCTTTGGAGAAATCTCTATTTTGATCCTTTGACTATTTTTTAAAATTAAATTAAATTTAATTCTGTTTTATTGTGGTGAAAACATTTAAAATGAGATCTACTGTCTTACAATTTTTGGTGTATAATACATTATTGTGGACTCCAGGTACAATGTTATACAGCAGATCTCCAGACCTTATTCATCTTACTTGATTAAAAATGGATGCTCATTGATTAGTAACTCTAGAGTTCTTCCTCCCTAACCCCTGAAAACCACGCTGTGATTCTATGAATTTGAATATTTTAGATACTCATATAAATTGAATCATTCAGTATTTGTCTTTCTGTCACTTGGTTATTTCACTTAGCTTAATATCCTCAAAGTTCATCCACGTTGTTGCATATTAAAAAATTCCTTTTCATGTCTGAATAGTATTTCATTGTATGTACATACTACTTTTTTATATAGTATCTATCAATGAATATTTAGGCGGTTGAAGATCTTAGCTATTTTGAATATTGCTGCAGCGAACATAGGAGTGCTAATATCTCTTCAAAATCCTAACATTAATTCTTTAGAAGAATACCTAGAAGTGACAATCATATGGCAGATCTATATTTAATTTAAAAATATAAACAGAAAACATCATATTCTTTTTCATAGCAGTGAAAAATTTTGCATTTCCACAAGCAGTGTGCAAGGATTCTAATATTTCCACAATCTCACCAACACTTATATTTTGTTTCTTTTCTATTAGTAGCCAGCCTCATAAGTGTGAGATGATATATCGTTGTGGTTTTGATGTGTATTATTTTGTGGTTAGTAATGTTGGCCATCTTTTTACATTCTTGCTGTATATACTTCTCTGGAGAAATGTCTATTCAAGTTCTGTGCCCACTTTTAAATCAGATTATTTAGGGGTATTTGTTAGTTTGCTTGTTTTGCTATTGAGATGTGTTTGTTATACATTTTGGAAATCAATCCCTTATTAGATACATGGTTTGCAAATATTTCTCCATAAGAATCCTTTTCACTCTTTTTTTTTTAAGTTTTTTTTTTAGTTTAATGACATTTTATTTGTTTATTTTTGTTTTCATTGCCTGTGCTTTTAGTGTCATGTTTATAAAATTATTGCCAAGAGCAATGTCACGAAACTATTCCACTATGTTTATTATACAAGTTTTATAATATGGGCTATTATGTTTAACTTTTTAATTTATTTTGAACTGATTTTTGTGTATGGTGTAATATAAGGGTCTGATTTCATTCTTTTAAATGTGGATATTCAGCTTTTCAAACATCCTTTTTTGAAGGCACTATCCTTTTTTCATTGTATATTCTTGCTTACTTCTTGAAGATCAATTGACTATATATGCATAGATTTATTTCAGTGCTCTCTATTTTATTACATTGGTCTATGGGTCTGATTTTATGCTAATACGTTACTGTTTTGATTACTTTAGTTTTTTTTTTTTCTTTTTTTTAGACGGAGTCTCGCTCTGTCGCCCAGGCTGGAGTGCAGTGGCGCGATCTTGGCTCACTGCAAGCTCCGCCTCCTGGGTTCACGCCATTCTCCTGCATCAGCCTCCCGAGTAGCTGGGAATACAGGCGCCCGCCACCACGCCTGGCTAATTTTGTTTTTGTATTTTTAGTAGAGACAGGGTTTTGCCATGTTAGCCAAGAAGGTCTCAATCTCCTGATCTCGTGATCTGCCCGCTTCGGCTTCCCAAAGTGCTGGGATTACAGGTGTGAGCCACCGTACTTCAGCTTTTGAATATACTGTGAAATCAGGAAGTGTGATAATTTCAGCTTTGTTCTTTCTCCAGATTGATTGGCTATTTGTATTTTTTACAGTTCTTGTGGATTTTAAATTCTTTTCTACTTTCTTTTTTTTTTTTTTTTTTTTTGAGATGGAGTTTCGCTCTTATTGCCTAGGCTGGAGTGCAATGGTGGGATCTCGGCTCACCCAAACCTCTGCCTCCCGGGTTCAAGGGATTCTCCTGCCTCAGCCTCCCAAGTAGCTGGGATTACAGGCATGTGCCACCACGCCCGGCTAATTTTGTATTTTTGGTAGAGATAGGGTTTCTCCATTTTGGTCAGGCTGGTCTCGAACTCCTGACCCCAGGTGATCCACCTGCCTCTGCTTCCCAAAGTGCTGGGATTAAAGGAGTAAGCCTCTGTGACTGGCCTCTACTTTCTTTAAAATGCCATTGGAATTTTGATAGGGACTGTATTAAATCTATGGATCACTTTGGGTAGAATGAATATTAATAATATTAAGTCTTCTAATCCTTGAACATTGGAGTTTTTCATTTGTTTGTGCCTTATTTAATGTCGTTCATCAATGTTTTGCAGTTTTTAATATACAGTCTTTCATCTTCTTACTTAAGTTTATTTTGAGGTATTTTAGCTCATTTGATTGTAAATTAAATTGTTATCCTAATTTCCTTTTCAGGTCATTGTTAGTGTGTAGAAATACAACTCATTATTTTATGTTATTTTTCTATCTTGCAACCTTATTGAATCATTTATTAGTCCTAAATTCAAGCCACATACTAATTCCATTCTGTGAAACTCTCATACTGCTCCAATTATTTCCTTATTGGTGAAAAATGCTACAACAAATATTATACATATAATTTCACACATGTGTATAAAAAACATTCACACATATCTATGAGAAACATTCCTAAAAGTTGAATTAGTAGGTTCAAAGGCATGCACATTTTACATTTAAATATGCTATTTTAAAATGAAAAACACGTCATATTAACAAAAGTTATCATTTAACTATGTAAAACAAAATAAATACAAATTATTATTTTTGCTTGTTCATATTTATTTTTATTTTATTTTCCTAATAAATATATTTCTGGTATAAAGTTCTCTAGCAATATTAAATCCTATTAAATTTACTTATACAATACTTGTTTAAAATTTCAAATCCCAAACTCTTATTAATTTTACAAGCTGTTCTGGAAAGAAAAGTTTATGATCATCTACGTTTTTCTGGAAAATGCATATTTTCATCTCCTTTAAAAGATACGAATCCTGAGCTCTGATAAATTCTTTAAGAAACCTGTTCAAATGTATTTAATCTGGCACTTGTCAAATGTGTTTGACAATGATTAACATCCTTTTAAAAAGCGTTCCTTGGGACACGTGTGCTAATACTAGAAAATGAAATATGCTAGACCATTTTCTAATCTTAATTTGAAACTTATTGCACCTCAGTCACTGGGCATACAAATGTGCAAATATGTCTTGTCCTCAAGGCTTAACGGTTCTTTCCAAATTCAAAGGAAAGGGAGGGCACAGTGGCTCACGCCTGTGATCCTAGCACTTTGGGAGGCTGAGGTGGGGGGATCACCTGAGTCAGGAGTGGGAGACCAGCCTGGCTAACAGCGAAACCCCGTCTCTACTAAAAATACAAAAATTAGCCGGGTGTGGTCGCGCATTTCTGTAATCCCAGCTACTCAGAAGGCTGAGGCAGGGGAATGGCTTGAATCCAGGAGGTGGAGGTTGCAGTGAGCTGAGATCACACCACTGCATTCTAGCCTGGGTGATAAGCAAGACTCTGTCTCACAAAAAAAAAAAAATTCAAAGGAAAATATTTTCTCATACGTTCATAAAGATAAGAACTCAATTAAAAGCCAAATAAACCAAAATAACCTCCTATTTATTAAATCATATTTGTTGATTCTAAGTATCCGTGTATTTCCCGACTTTACCTTTCTGATTTTTTCCATCATTTTTTCCTAATAATAATAATAATTACTATTATTCAGTGGAACATGAAAACAAAATTACTGTTTTTATACACATAAAATCCATGGTCATTTAATTATCATCATGCAAGAGGGAGCTCAGTAATAAGATTGAGTATATATTGTCTTCTGTTTAATTATAGAGGAAGAATATCATGGATGTCAGACATATTGTACAAGGAGAAGAAAAGTAGTAGCATTTGGGACAATCCATTATCAAAAATTCAACATTTTAATAAATAGTATGCTCCTAATAAAAACATTTAAAATGTGTTTTATAATATTTTTCTGAATATTTATTGGCTAATGTAACAGCTCATCATCAAGATATAAATTAAAATTTTCTTGGGAAAAAATAATTATGAGTTTTTATAAGAATTAATATTAATGAAAGAAGTGATAATGTTACTTCCCTGTAAGGACACATCATCCACAGGCAATTCAGTTAAGGTCCTGCTTCTGGATAGGAATGTGAAACAGACCGTATCTCTTCAATGAACACAACAATACTAGATGACTTACTGTAATACTGGGAAAGAAGGTGAGAAAGTGGTCCCAGAGAACCAGAGAACAGAAGTGAAGGCATTTTAAAGAAAGAGGGGACTGGTATTTGAACAATGCAGTAAAAAGATTTTGGGTGAAACAATGACCAGGAAACACTTTATGGTTTTGTAGTTAGTTTACAGAGAAGAAAATCACAAGGTAACTGACATAAAGGTTTGAGTATAGGATTATATGAACGATTATGCCCAGCTGTTCATCATTTTCACAAATTTCAGTATAAGAAGAAATGGACTTTCATTGAAGCAAGAGGGACTAAGATTTTATGGAAGACAGAATGAATAGACAGCAGGTTTTAAAACTTGATATATGTTGCAAGGGACATTGTGCAACTAAGTGCAGCAGTCTATATGTGATAGAGAAGTTTAGAAAAAGAGAAATTACTTTGCATTGGAGCAAACAAGAAAGACTTTACATGGGCCTTCAAACGTGAACTGAATTGTGTACTAAAGGATTATCTGAGAGTATTACTGAAATCAGAATTATTAGGAAGGAAATAAAACATAAGAAAATATTTAGAATTTGTACTAATATTAATCTATCAGTTTTATATCTGAATAACTTCCAGAAATTTTTATGCAGCAAGCACTGTTTTAAATAATTTGCATATATTAAGTCATTTAATTGTCATTTAATTCTCACAAAAGTGTTCTGAAGCTAGTCAGGTCTTATATTATCATCACTTTGAAAACGAGAAAACTTAAACACAGAGACAATAGCAGATTGACTGACTATGTCATAGGACTGCTAAGTCACTGAACTCAGTTTTAAATACTGGTAGTTTGGTTTCAGAGACCAAGACCTTAACCACATTGTGTTCCCTTTCCCAAAATCACACATGCCTACATCCACATACCAAATTTGATATGCCAACTCCAGAATATCGAGTTTCCTTCATGATAATTTCCAATTTAAGAATGTCTTTGTCGTTCAATGAATATAATTATTTTAAATAATGAAAGACACATGCATTTGTTTTCTGTTTTTTTTTTCAAAAGAATCTCTCGTAAAAGTTCTTCAGAGATTAAAAAGCAGCTGAAACTGAATTCAAACTTTTATTCTTACAGCAAAAGCAGTAAGATTATTAAGAGAAGGGTAAAAGTGACATAAACATGTTTCTTTCTTTACCACTTTCTTTTATCCCATACATACAAGTATGCTTTTGGCTCTAAGTATGTTTGCAAGTGTGCATTTATATGCATGTGTGTGTGTGTGTAGTTAGTTTAGACAGTTTACCTTTTCTTTACTTATTTTTAAGCTATAGACCCATAACTTCCACGATCACTTAGTTTTCAGTTTGTCATACAAACTCAGTTTAACCCCTTGGTGTCTAGTTAATATATGATGCTCGAAAAAATGATATTAGAGTAGACATTGTACCTGATCATGTAAATTAATGGTGCAGAGTGAGACAGCATTTATTGACTATTTGATACTGGCACAGATTATATTCGGACTCAATAGAAACTTCCTTGACTGTGCATCTTGACATGGTTATTTGATTTTGCCTTTTAGCTTTAGTTCTTTTGTGCTGCTATAACAGAATTCCTGAAACTGGGTAATTTATAAAGAATGTAAATTTATTGGTTCATGGTTCTGGAGACTGGGAAGTCCAACAGCATAGAGCTGGCATCTGGTGAGGACCTTCTTATGTGTCATTCCATGGTGGAAGATGGAAGGTCAAAAGAGGGTAAGAGTGAGAGAGAGCAAGAGGAAGTCATACTCACTTTTAAAATAAATCCACTCCTGGGATAATGTATTCATTTCCATGATAATGAGATTATTTCATACATGAGGATGGAGCCCTCGTGACCTACACACCTCCCATTAGGATCCACTTCTCAACACTGTTGTCATGGGGATTAAGTTTACAACACATTAAATTTGGGGGACACATTCAAAACAAAGCAACCTCCAAGTGCTACAGTTTGATTTTTGCTTCAAGATTAATAGAAAAACATAGTGCTTCTAAGACACCATTTGGATTATTATTTCTCTGTTTGCCTTAAATGTACATTCGAAAATTTCATTTAAAAAAAGAAAGTTATGTCAAATATAAACAGGCCTGAAAACTAAAAGCTTAGTGGTGAATATGAAGAACAGTTTACACAAATGCACTTTATCATAGATATACTTGAAGCCCTCTGACTAATCTCCTCCAATATAATCACTAAAACAATACTCTTTTTTTATTAAGACCTTCTATTTGAAGTCACATCTTCATCATTTGGGGCAGAGTCTTTAAAAAGAAAATACTTACTTAACTGTTTATTCCAGTTGATTGCAGTATTCCCTAGTGGAAGGAAAATAGGTAGCTTGAAGAGTGCATTGACTTGTGCAGATGAAATGGCATCTTAATAGTCTGAAGAGTTAATATGCTCTTCTAACACTCTCCTGCTCCACATTGGCTCTGGGATGCCCTAGTGACCTAAATAAGTCCATATTCAAGTGCATCCTTTAAGACCTAGTGAGAAAAGGAGTACTTTTAGCCACTGAAGAAAATTTAAAGCACAGATTGCCTCATTGTCTAAATTATCCTCAGGGGAAAACTTGACAATTTTGAAAGCTGCACTAACTCAGTAGAAAATGTTACAGAAGAATCCCCTAGTGGTCTGAAGTAGTTCATGCTCAAGTTTCTGCTAAGGTCCAGTCCTTTTCTTTATGTTCAGAAACTCATAGGACTTCTGCTTCTAGGTCAAAATACACAAGGGAGGTCAGTAACAGTGGGCAAGGAGGTATTAGGTAAAGGAAGAGGGATGAGGCCAAAAAGGGCTGAGTCCCTTTCAGTATCATCATCAAGTCTGAAGTTCTTTAAAGTATTAAAATTTGGTGGCTTACTCATGTTGGTGCTCCAGAGACTTTAAACTTCTGACCTAGAATATTTTGACATTGTGGGGAAACAAACAAGCAAACAAACAAGTTTTTTTTTGTGTTGAAACATCTGCAAATGAAGCCAGCAGCTCTGTTGATGCTACAGCTTATTAAAGATGCAAATTAAAAATATCAAAAAGCATGGAAATTTGCTTAACCTTTTACAGAATGTAAATCTTTAATCTGATCTTAATATGAACTTCATTGATTTGCTTTAAGTTTAATAACACGCTGAACCTCAGAGGTGTTAATAGTACCTTTAGTGGTCAAGTATTGCATTTTAGAATTGATAGAAAAAGGTTAATTTGAAATCCAGTCAGGAAAGTATATCATACTGCGCAACATATATCTGCTTTAGTGAAGAACTGACAAACTGCAAATGCCTCAGAGGAAAAATTCTACTGAATTAAAAGCAAGATTAAAGTACTTGGGAATGAATTTACATTCAACTATAAAATAACGCCATTATGCCAATTTTTTGGTGTAACCAGTCGTTTCTGAGGCTTCTGTTACTAAATTAAAAGGTTATGTAATGCAAAATAAAATTGAGGACATTTAAGTTAAAAACACAAATCCAGCAGAAAGTTTTATTTATAAATACTAAATCTCACTTAGTATTTTATTGTTGGCTTATTTTGAAGTTTTTTTTGTTTGTTTTCATTTTATAATACACTTAAATTAGCTATGGTATATTAAATATTAAAAATATGCCATGTAGGAAAGTAGCTACTCCTATAGCCATTAGACCATGATTTAATTTAGTCATTTCAGAAGTAATGTTGATAAAAACAATACAGTATCTAAATGTCAAGAAAAAAAGGCAGTCATTCATGCTTGAACAGGCCATTCCTTTCTTTTTCTTTTTTCTTTTTTTTTTTTTTTTTTTTTTTTTGAGACGGAGTCTCGCTCTGTCGCCCAGGCTGGAGTGCAGTGGCGGGATCTCGGCTCACTGCAAGCTCCGCCTCCCGGGTTCACGCCATTCTCCTGCCTCAGCCTCCCAAGTAGCTGGGACTACAGGCGCCCACCACTACGCCCGGCTAATTTTTTGTATTTTTAGTAGAGACGGGGTTTCACCGTTTTAGCCGGGATGGTCTCGATCTCCTGACCTCGTGATCCGCCCGCCTCGGCCTCCCAAAGTGCTGGGATTACAGGCGTGAGCCACCGCGCCCGGCCCAGGCCATTCCTTTCATCTTCCTTTTATTGGACTCACAAAATATGGCACAATTACTTGACGTCATCTACATACCAAAAAGAGTAGTTTAAGATCACTTTGTCACATGCCAAACCACAGTCTATCTTTGACAATGTAAATTCACCACTGAATATAAGGAATATGGTTAACTACCTTAAAAAATATTTGTCAGAATTACTAGTCACTGGAACCAGATTTCTCAGTGAAATAAACCCTGAAATAGTTTTGGCACATTCTTCATTTCTTTACCTAGTCTAAGGCATAGTCCTTATTGATCTAAAAATAAATAGAGCATCCCTAAGATTAAGTCTTGACTGTGATAACAGGGTAAACAGGTTAGTGAACAATTGTGCCAGTGAACATTTACAGATATCAAATGTTAATTTTCTTAACATCTGACACTATATCAAAGATGGCTGGTTTTGATTCATATTATTGGCACATATGACTTCCATTTTTAAAACTGTAATTTGATTCCCCTACCCAATTTTCAAAACTACTTTTAACCATTTTTTACCTCAATTCTTCCAGTGATAAGAGCATAATATAATCATTACGTTACTGTATCCACAGCCCCCGGATAATATCTAGTGGCTTAGATGATTAATTTCATAAACATTACTCTTGAAATTTAAATAGATTTTGTATTCTTACAATCAAGCATTTGTTTACTCATATTATCATATAAAATATTTTATATTTTGGTGAATGTAGGCTTAATTCAATTCTGGTTTTCAATTGCAAATGCATTCAATTTGTGAACATTTTATTTCTGCAGATTTACACAGTTTTTTGCTGTTTGCAGTAATAAAGAATTCTGTTAATAACAAAATGTTATTTTCTGAAATCCCTCTGAAGAGCATTGAATAAATTTCTGCAGGAAACTTGGTTCCAGCTGGAAATTATTTTGCTCCCATATATGGAAATAGATTCCAATGCTATGGTAATTTGACTCCTCTCCATCACCATCCATTTTTCACACGGCACCTGGAGCAGTCTTTTTTTAAAAATAAGTAAGTTGGATTTGTTCATTCCCCATTTCAAAACTCTTCAAAATGGCCTCTGATTCTGCTTATAATCCAATGCAAAATCTTTGGCATACACTCTGTGGGCCAAAATCATATTTTTCATGCCTATATTTTGAGGGTTATTTTCAGCACTATTTTCTTTAACTTATCGAATAAAAGCCATACTGGTCTTTAATATTTATAACATGTCAGGTTTTATGGAACATTTATATGTACTATTTATTTTTTCCACTTAAATTATTAACTTCTTTCCCAATATCCTTCTGTTCTTGATCTGTTAAACTAATACTTATCCACAGGTCTCCTTTCTTTTTTCACACCCCTGCCATCATAATCACCACAGTTACCATCATCAATAAAATTTTTTGGTTAAATCCTTTCACAGCACTGTTAAGTTTCTCTGTAGTTAGACAAAAATAAATGGATGGTGTATTTTTCCTTTATTAAGAATAGAGATGTACGTAATTCTATTTTAGTTTAGGTTTTTGCTGTGTGTATTATACTTTTAATAGATTTAACACCATATAAATGTAATAAAGAATATAGATAAGAAAGAAAAAAAGCCCACACAAAAACTTGAGAATATGACTTAAGGACTATAGTGAATAATTTCCCTCTCCCAACATGTTACCATTATAATTTTAAAGACCTGTTTACTGTACTTACTTTAACACAGTAAATCACGTTCATCTTTCAACAAAAGATTACAAGGCATATTAAAAGATAGAAAACACAGTTTCAAGACACCAAACAAATATCATAACCAGAGTCAGACATGGCAGAAATGTTGGAATTATCAAACCGAGAATTTTCTGAAACTATCATTAATATGCAAGGGCTTTAGTAGGAAAAATAAAGAGAACATGCAATAATGACAGCTATTGTAAATGGAGAAATGGAAATTCTAAGAAAGAATTTAAAAGAAATGCTAGAGATAAAAACATTGTAACAGAAATGAAGAAGGCCTTTGGTGGACTCATTAGCAGACTAGACACAGCTGAGGAAAGTATCTCTGAGCCTGAGGATATGACAATAGAAACTTTTAAAACTGAAAAGCAAAGAGGAGAAAGATAGAAAGAAAAACACTCAAGGACTATGGAACAACTACACAATGGCAAATACCCCTATTGGGAAAACTAGAAAAAGAAAGAGAAAAAAGAAAAGAAGCAATATTTGAAGCAACAGGAAGAATTTTCTCAATTTAATACCAGGCACAGAACCACAGATGTAAGAACCTATTCTGTTTAATAAATATTTCATACTGCCTTTTGCAAATACATGCCTTCATGCATATGTTAAAAACCATGCATGTGCAATACCAAGAATGAACCTCAATGTGAACTACGGACTTTGGGTGATAACCCTGTGACAATGTAGTTTCATTCACTGTAACAGATATGCCACTCTGGTGGAGGATCCGTAGTGAGAGAGGTTGTACATGTGTATGGGGATATGGATATATGGAAATTCTCTGTATTCCCCACTCAATTTTGCTGTGAAATAAAAAATAAAGATTACTAATTAAAAAAAAAACTCACTTTTTACCACAATGTCCTTTTTAAGATCAACAAAAAAGTAATTTGTAAGTACTTTGTTTAGTAAAGAATAGCATTGAGTAATATCAGTAAGATGATCCCTAATCTGCAAAATGTCAATACAAAAAAAAATAAAAAATAAAGGCAGACAATAGTAAATACTAAGCAGATCCTGAAAGCAAGGTATTTCAAGTGGCCCAAACATGGTAAAGAAATCGGTGCAATAATATATAGTAGTGGAACTATAGAAATATAAATGAATTATGTGATAAATCTCCTGGAAAACTGTTTATACTTAAAAAAAATTACTCAACATTTGTGGCTTCATAGGTAAAATAAAAAAAAATAAACTAAATGATCTGCAACTACCTCTCAGGCCCTAAAGCTATAAAATCTTAAGCAAGTCTTCCTAAAAACCTACTAAGTTCCCAAGGATATGAGATATAATAGAAATATAAAAGTGTAAGATAAATACGGGAAGATAGTTCACAGAATATAATTTTTAAAGGAAATAAGATATGTGAAGCTTAGGTTGAAAGAAAAAGGATGAAAGAGAGAAAGGCTTAGAAAAAAGATGAAATAATGCCCTTAGACAATGATAAATGGAAAGGTAGATAGAGACAAGGCATATAGAGAAAAGGGAAATAAGAAAAATTAGAGAACAGTTCTGCTAAAGGTCAATTTAACCTTCACATCAAAGTTTAACTCAATTTCCTGGATACATTTTGAGGTCAGTAATGTCTTATTAACTTAGTTTTCTCTGCTGCAGCTAGAATCTAAATGTGATTCTTATGAGTACAGAGCATGGAAGGTGTGTAACTGGCTCACAGGTCTTTGAAGGTTTAAGGTCACACTCAGCCAGTGATTGCCACAGCAATCTCATCAGACTCGGGGGACAAGCGTATACCTAAATAAAGTCTAGTGTGTTTGGTACATTAAAATCCTTGATAGGCCATGAGGAAGCCTCTCATTCATAACAATTCCCCCTGCATTCCCAGCTCATCAGGACAGGATACTTCAGGGACAGCAACTGTGGCTTATGAGAAGGCATTCTAGCCTAAAAATTTCAAGTTCAAGTCACAACTTAACTGCTTATTAGCATGTGACTTTATCTGAGTTGCATGGCTTCCAAGAGCCTAAGTTTCCACACCTATGAAAAGCAGTTATATCTCATACGATTTTGTAAGTATTTAGAAAAGATGATAACTATGCAAGTACTTTACTGTTCAATTTAAGTATACTTCATTGATCATCTCAGTTGAGCTAGCAGCTATGACCATTCCACTCAATATTAAATGTATCCTGCCCAGGAAAGATAAGGATTGACATTAACTCAATGTTTTGTTTGTATCACCCACATGTAACACATTCCACATGGATTAACACATTTCATTCTCACAACAATTCAATGATCCGAATTCTATTGCTACCTCCAGTTTACTAAAGAGGATAAATAAGGAGTTCACAAATGAGGAGCTGAGGCACAGATGGTTTATACAATAGCATGTCCAAGGCCACACTACCGGTAGGAATTTATGCCATCAGAATTTCACTGAAGCAGTCCAACTTCATAGGTTTTTTTCCATGTCTGCAATTCTATTCATTATCTCTATATACTGCAAGAAAACTATTGCATTTTTTCTTTCAAAATATTGTTCAGTCATTCAAGTTCCATACTTTTAAAACATGGAGATTTATGCTAAAAACATGTTCAAAAGATAAAAATCTGTCCCCTTTTGTTTTAAATCAGCTTAATGTATCAAATGATTTATGTAAATGAAATGGAGCTCCTAAAAATGAGGTTAATATCTGGGTCATCTGTCCCAGAATGTATGCATAGTATGAAGATTATACAATTGGAGTCATTTCTTAGAAGTCTTATTTTCATGGAAAATCACTCTTTAATAATGAATTGATTTAGGCAGCCACATTCATGATTTTGTCAGAAATTTGTAAATTCACTGATGTCTGAAATCATACATTCTAACCTTATTTCTTCAGCTGCAATCTACATTCCTTAAGTGCAAATAAGTTCTAAGAAGTACAGCATGTGTAAGTTGAATAGTCATGCATGCCTACAGAATTTCTTCAGCAACTCTGCTCATAGCAGGTTTTGAAGGTGTGATAAGCTGAGTAATTTGGGGCGTTAGGCTGTGCGGGAGATGAACACATATCATTAATGTGATATACAGCCTGTGAGCGTAGAGACTGGTGACAGCAACAATGCACATTTCCTGCTTTCCAGTTTTGCTGGCTGCCTGCCTTGCCCTCATTGCTTTGTTATCCACGCCAGGAGATGATAAGTCCAATGGAAATTGAAGTGTTTTAGAAACATTCTAAAATAAACCTCAAACACTTGTTTAGAGAATCTAAGTGATTTAAGTGAGATGTGACAATGGATGAAAAACTGACTGTTAAAAGTGGTATCATTCCCCTATCAGAGCCATTGAAAGAGATTACTTTCATCTTAGGAAGCTGCATTCTCAAATTTGAGTCCCTGGATCAGGGTGGTTAAATCCTAGTTTACCAGTTCAGTTCCAAATGCAAGAAGATGACATGATACAGATATAACTCAATTAAGTTTCAAGATGAACCCCTTCAGTTGTATTTATTATTATACATTGATTCAATATTATATATTATATATATTCAGTATATATATATAAAGCTCCTGTATTATATAGTCATATATATAAAATATATATTCGGTAGCCATATATATTACTTGTATATGAATATAATCATATATAATAATACAGTCATATATATTACATATAACTATAATATGTTCAGATTTGACAAGTTATCAAAAGTTCCAAATCTATTTACACTGTGACCAAAAGAAGCCTCAAATTGTGGGACAAAAGATGAAATAAAGGAAATGGAAAAAACAATTATTTCAATCCACCTAAGAAAATTTAATCCTTTTCATATGTACACACATATAGATACATATTAGCAAAGAATTAAATTTTTGTTCTATTTTCTTAGGTTGGCTGAAAAAATTATTCTTTTCATTTCCTCTGTATTTCCTCACTTAACCCACAATTTTGGGCTACTTTTTGATCACAGGGCAAATCTATTCGGTACTTTTGATAATTTGTCAAATCTGAACATATTATTTATACTGTATTTCTTCTGTGCTAACTCAACCAGGCACTCAGGAAAACTATCTCAAAATTGTCTATCCTGAAAAGCTGTACAAACTGCAGCAAATGCTGTCAATTTTATAACTAGTGAAAAGTGAAATGAGCGCTGATAAGAGGGTGGCAAGATATAAAATGATGGAAAAACCTCACTGCTGTGTCATTTCTTCCATAATAGCATCAACTCTAGTTATGTGCAATGTAATTATATTCACTATAAATTGTTGACGTTCATATCTTCTTTCTCTCTCCAGGGCAAGCCTTGTCTGAGAGCCAGTTGTTGAATTTGTTTTCCATGGCTTTGTAACCCTACTGAGTAATGGTCAAATACAGAGTCGCAGCTCTGTGAGAGGGGCCGGTGCCTGTGGACTTCTATGGTGACCCATAAATGGTCTTAGCAGCAGCCAATGCCTACACATAATGAAGGTAAATTTGGACAATGTAACTGACACGATTTTATAAAATTGGTCTAAAAAGAGCCTCTGCCTGTAACACCAAGAAATAGTTTTTGGTCTAAAAGAAATAAAATTAGATACTGACATAGCCATTCAGGTGACAGATGACGATTTGATTTCCTACTGTAAGTCAAGCAGTGTGCCAAGCACTAGCAACAAATAAGAAAAAAGTTACCTGACCTTAGACAGTTTTAGTTTCATAGAAGGAAACAGATATTAAATACAAAACATGAAAATGTATACCTTGGTATTCTCACTATTTTATTTATTTTTGTTTCTTATATGCACTGTACTTTTCAAGAGATTCTTTGTATAACACAATTCTGCTCTTTTTGCCTAAATAACAACAGCCCTTTGATTCTTCTAAGTGTTTTGATTAAGTATTTAGAGTGAAAAGCAAAGTATATTTTAAAAATTATTGAAAAAAATTATGCACTCTTTCTAAATCGCCATTTTTTTCTTGGACCATTCATTTTATTGACATAAACTCATTCAATTTTAAAAATAAAAGCTTCGAAGATAATCTACATACATTCAAACACACATGATCTAAACATAAAAGTTCAATTGATATTGACAAATATATGCCACCACAATCAAGATATAGAACATTTGTGTCATCCTGAAATGTTCTTTCATGTTTCTCTGTAGTAAGTCCCTCACATTGCCAGTTTCAGGTAACCACTGGTCTATATTTTGCCACTACAGATTAATTTTGCCTTTCTTAGAATTACATATAAATGGAATCATCCAGGGAGTACTCTGTTGCAATTGGCATTTTTCACTCAGCATAATATTTTTCAGATTCATCTGTGTTAGTGAATCAGTAGTTCATTCCTGATTATTTTTGGGCAGTAAATCAAGTTTTGATATAACACAATCTGTTTATCTTTTTATCTATTGATGCACATTTGGGAGGTTTCCAATTTCTGGATATTTTTCAAGAAAGCTGTCTTAAACATTTTGTACAAGTATTTGTATTGACATATTTTTGAATTTTTTTGGGCAAATAACTAGGAATAGAATTAGTGGGTTACATGTTACGTGTATGTTTATAAGAAATTTCCAGGCTATTTTCTAAAGTGATTGTGGTCTTTTATATTCCCACAGACAACTAATTAAAATGTCAATACTAGGTATTTTCAGTCTTTTAATCTTAAACATTATAGTGAGTGTTTAGAAGTATCTCGTTGTTTCAATAGTAGTATTTCATTGTGGTTTTAATTTGCATTTTACTAATGATGAATTATTGAATACATTTTCAGTTGCTTATTGGACATCCATTTATCTTGTATTGGGAAGTATGTCTTCAAATATTTTACCTATTTTTAATTGAATTTGTTGTCATTTTATTACTGACAACATCAAATATATGTATGTATTTAAAAAATGTATATTTGATTACCCAATGGTCACAAAACTCGTTAACTGGCAATTAAGTGAAGGACCCTTTATACTCAGTTGACTACACAATTTTGTTAGCTTTTTCTATAATGATCCTCATGGGTTCCTCTCAAGTTCCATTATTCAGCATGTGATGACCTTACCTTTCCTCTTGCTAAAGCCATGTCTCTATCAGCATCATGATCCTGTGTTTACCAGGAAAGCTGTACCTGGTCTGAGATCTTACACTACTTTCCAGCTATCTATTTATGTCACAGTTTC
Organism: Homo sapiens; assembly: GCF_000001405.40. NCBI lineage: Eukaryota > Metazoa > Chordata > Mammalia > Primates > Hominidae > Homo > Homo sapiens. The sequence continues at coordinate 20,223 of NW_003315915.1, forward strand.
GTGAATGCTGGCAGTAAAAATGAGACTCTAGAGTCAGAGTCAAAGAAATTTATTACTCACAGCAATAGCAGTAACCAGAGCATCAGATTTTTCTTGTGCTGGTTCCCTAAACTCCAATACTCACAGAAAAACATGAAGAGGACTAGATGATAGCTATACAGGCAGTAGGCTGTATTACAGGCAAGGGAAACTGATACTATGTAATTGAATATTTTATAATGTAAGTTAGCATGCCTACCTTTGCTCCAGAGGAAGATATTACCTTTATTAAAACTGGAAAATAAGTAAACTAGCTTTCTGCTTCAGAGGGAGACACTATTTTTTAAGGCTGATTGCTGCACAAACATTTCTGTGAAGATAGTCACAAAAAAGGCAGTCAGTGCTTCTGTGTGTAAAACATTCAAATATGTGAGAGATCCAGAGAGAATTATCTCTCATCATAAAATTGCATGAATACTAATTAGCAAAATTTCAGATCAGAATGAGAAATAATTAGTATATCTATTAAGCATTATACCTAAAATCACAGGATGATAATAATAACATTCATTCAAAAAGATCTATTAGTCAGCTAGCATGTGCTGAGCATTGTTATAAATGTTTCAGGTTGCAACTGATATTTGAAAAAAATTGTTTTTCAGTATTGTCTTTAGATTTAGACAAGAGGATTGGGTTTCTTAGAAGTCTCCACTTATTACAAAGAAATAAAAATAAATATATTAAAAAACAAATGTTTAACTTTTTTTTTTAACTCGGAATCTGGAGCTTATATCTGGTACAGAAAACACTTAAGACTCTAAACAGCTGCTCTCATCAGTAACAATGAGTAGGCCTCAGTGAAATAATTCTTCCTAGCTCTATCCCTGTATTGTCAAATAAAAGGGTGTGATATGGTTTGGCTGTGTCCACACGAATATCATCTTCAGTTGTAGCTCCCATAATTCCCACATGTCATGGGAGGGATCTGGTGGGGGGTAATTGAATCATGGGGGCATGTCTTTACCATGCTGTTTTCATGATAGTGAATAAGTCTCACAAGATCTGATGGTTTTATAAAGGGGAGTTCCCCTGCACATGCTCTCTTACCTGCTGCTATGTAAGACATGACTTTGTGCCTCCTTCACCTTCCACCACGATTGTGAGGCCTCCCCAGCCATGTGGAACTGTGAGTCAATTAAACCTTTTTGCTTTATAAATTACCAAGTCTCAGGTATGTCTTTATTAGCAGTGTGAGAACAGACTAATACAGGGTGACTCTCCCAAAACCTATGAAGTTATTTGAATTATGTTACTCTTAATTCAGATGATGCACACTGTTTCAGAGTGTAGGAAGGATTGAGTGAAAGAACTTATATCATAAAAAGACAAATTAATGCACTTATATAACTTTAAAATCATCTTCCAGTAGTGGTAAATATCTTTTATTCTTCCTTTCCCTCTCCCCACCTCCTCCTTCTCTTTGTGTTTTATTCATGATTCCAGAGGGTAATAACAAGTGAACTTGACATTTACAATTTCACATGATGCCGAGAAACAGTCATAACAATAAGTCATGATCTTAAATGTGTATTCATAGTTTTTTCTAGACAAAATATTGGTGAAACATTATGCCAAATCTCTTTACACTGTCAGCCAGAGAGATATTGATCCAGTATTGTTAATAATTTTATTTTTTAAATATTCAATAAGATTTCTTTAAACTTTCAAAAATAGGTAAAAATTTAGTTTATGTAGTTTCCTTGAAAGTTGGAACTACTATAATTATATTTTGATTTTAATTCTAACATAATCTTTTAAATTTTTGGAGTAAAATCACTTTGAGAACATCTAAACATTTGTAATATTTTGATCTCAACATTCTAATTTGCTTCTTTTTAAATAATTAAATATTTGTCTTCTTTGAATAGATTTATATTTTTATATTTTTGCATCATCACTTTCCATTGATTATAAAGTATTTGATCTTTAATGTACCCAATTTCTGACATAAAATAAAAGCAAGAAAAAATAATATGCACAGAATAAAAGCATACGATTTTATGAATTTATTATGTTTTTATTTTATTATCCATTCAAACATCACCAGCAAAACAGCAAAACACTCATATGTGCACAAAATTTTTAAAATTCAGCCTTATTTTACATTTTTAACTTTAAAGCTATTTAAAATAGCATTTAGCTATTAAAGCTACTTAAAAAAGCTTTACACATTTATATGTAAATGTTCAAGGAAAGAGGATAGAAGATATGTCATTTAACAGCCTTTGTTAGCTTTGTTTATAAATGTTAAATCTTTAGATATGTCTCCGTGCCTCCATTTTTACTCCTGCCATTAACTCTGCAAAACGTAGGGCTGGGCCTGCAGATTGTAGTGCTTCCTCTCTTCTAAGAAGGACAGCATATTACTTGCAGATAGGAATATAACTGAGAAGTTTCTATTTCAAAGCCTTTGCTAGTTTTGTAATGCTCATGGAAGAACCCTAGTTTGATAGCGTTCTATTAAGAAGAGAGCATCACAAACATTGGCTATGCAAAGTAAATCAAGGGTTCCAATATATGCCACTGAGCTACACCATTTTGAATAACAGAGAAAAAATTTCAGGAGGGAAGTTTATGGGATGCAGGGATGGTAGTAACTCCAGTAAACCCTTCTCTATGTAGAGATGCAACATTTAAGTAATGTTACAAGGAAAAAGAGAAAAATAAATCATGATCTTAAAGCCCAAATTGCAAGCCCAGTCAATGTCATGTCAGGCATCCCTTTTGTGGGGGAAGAGTTGATGAAAATATATGTGGAATGTCTAGCTGCCTTCAGGAATTATTGCTATCACTCTCACTCTAATCTCTAAGGGTTGGTAGATTGGAAATGAAACTGCTGCTTCTAAATGCCGAAGGTGAAATCTAACCTGAAGGGTTACTTGGTAGAGTGGCAACCAAATGTCTGTCTTGTGGGAGTGATGCCTATGCCTCTCTGCTTTCTATGTCTTTAAATTCACTAAGGCAGACACAGATCAGAATTTAGGCTTCAAAATATGTCCTATATCACTATCTACAAAATAGTCGATTTCCCCAAGGGCAATATGAGCTCACACCAAAATACTAGACACCACAAAATATAATGCCTGAAGAAAAAACTGTACAATGAAGTCCATCTGAAGTTGAAATACTGTAACTAACAGATGATAACTTAAAACAACAAAAAAATCAATGCATTTAAGTTAAAAAAGAAGATTTTATCACAATAAAATAAGATTGGGAAATAGAAAAAAATCTAAGTAGAACTGTCGTGTTTAAATTATACAGCATTGGAAATTATCTTTCTGTATTAATGGATAAAGATATAGATAAATAAAAATTTTCAGGATTAATACACTGAAAAAAAGTGAGTAACTGAAAAATCAGATTGAAGCACGTTTCCACCAAAAAGTAGCAGAAAATGATGAAATGATATTAAATATAGGATAAAAATACTGAGGAGGGTTATACATATTCCCAAATAGGGAAAATGGTTTTTAAAAAGGAGACACAACATTTGACATATTAATGAATACACACTTTCAAGAATTAAAGAAAGATAACAGTTTTCAAATTAAAAGTAGTCAGAATATAGAAAACATGATAAAATTTATGTCAAAGAAAAACAAAGAAATAGGAAATCACTTTTAAAAGAACAAAAATCAGATTTACGGCAAACTTCCTAACAGCATCTCCAGATATAGTAAAATGATGAATTAATATTTATAAATAATTGAAGGAAAGAACTTTGAGTAGTGAATGTAGGATCAAGGAAATGTTTCATCTATGTATAATAGCCCAACAAAAATATTATGACTCATTAGCCTTAAAAGATTTTCCAGGCAAAACTTGATTCAAAACATTGTAACAATAAATAAAACAAATCTTCTACAGACATGAAAAGCAAGAATGATCAAATAGCTTATTAAAGCTTACTGCCAACTAAAAATAACAACTAAATTAGCTAGAACAAAAATACAGAAAGAGAAATTATAACCACAATAACCAAAATGATATAGACTATGTATACATAAAAGAAGACAGACTAAAGCAACATGAAAGAAGGCTAACATATTTTCTACTTTTTTTCTATTTTTGTTTTAGTATTCAAATATTTTGTCTTGTTTTATATTTCCCTTCCTGAAAAGTATTAAAGACAGCATTGGCTTATTATGTATTCAATACACAACGATTTTTATTTTTTTCTACTGGGGGTATTCCACTGGAGAGAAAAAAAAAGAAACTTCTACTCTTCCATAGAAAAGCCAACAGGCAAAATTTTAGGAGTATTTTCTCTGAGCTATTCTCCCTTTTCCTACAACTATTCTTAAACTGCCTGTCATTTTCACCAGCACTTGGACAAATGGCCATGTGCCCATGAATCTGTTTAGTACTATGGAGGCAGAGCCTGAATCTGGCTTGAGAAAAACTTCTACCAAATGTTCCTCTAGCCACTTAACATTTGCTTGATTTAGGTACAAATTTTTAATTCCTTGGCACTAAATACATTCATCTGTAAAACAGCAGTAAAGATAACTTTCTTGTGTGCTTTCCAGAGTTTTATAATAATATTTGTGATTGTCATTTACTTTGCAAACTAAAAAAAAGTCCAAAATAGGATGCTTTAATAATATTGTCAGTTTCAATTGCACAACATGCATTAAAGACAATCACTTCATATATTAAATATATCTTTCTAGGTGATTAAGCACTATTTATATGTTTATTTATTTATTTTACCCCAAAAATGTCATTCCTGGAGATACCCAGTCTGCTAAAGAACCTGATGGCAGTTCTAGATTCCTTAAGAAATATTTACTATTTAAATTTAGATCTAGCCTTTAAGCGACCAAGGAGAAACTGTGAACTCTCACGGTAAGTTTGAAAATAAAAAAATAGAGGGGTATATGCAAATAGGAAATAAAGAAAATGGAAGGGAAAGAAAAGGAAAAAAAGGGAAAGAAAAATAAATAATTATTACTATTATTACCAAAATCCAGAAAAAGTCTCAATTGCCCCACAAAATACTCTAGTCTCAGAAGAGCAATAGTTTTTGAGTGCTTCATCTGGCAACTATTTGCCCAGGTGATTATTTTTATGTTCTTAAAAACCTGTAATTCCTTCTGAGTGGTATCTCATAAACACACCCACATAAATAATTAATTGGGTGTTTTACCATTGTTATTTCACATTTTCTATTAGCATTTATTGATTGTATAAAATGTCCATTTTGTTTTCCTTTGTTACATGGACATTTCTACTCTCTATTTAGTCCATTTACATCCTAATATTTATTCATTCTCAGCAGACCCAGCTTTGAATAAATGCTGCCACAACTGCCAAACATTTTTACCTGCAAAATCATACAGCAGAAACTATCTGAGATATAGATACAAAAAATTAGACGTTTATCTTATTTTCACAAGCTAACTAGTAATTCAGTGGAATAGACAATTTATAAGAAGAAGAACTGAATACATATAAAGGGGTAAAGTTATGAAAGTTAAAATGAAAGAGTTGCATTAGAAATGCGGATTGAGAGAAAACTTTAGGAAGCCATAATACTTAAGAAACAATCTACTTAATGAAAAGCTCTTTCTAACTTTTACAACATGGGTAGAAAGATGTATGTAGTGGGTCTGTAGATGACAAAACTTCAGGAATATGGGGGAGAAAGAGCTTGATTATTTGGCTTAGTTGGTGATAAAGGCAGTAAAATCCCCTTCAGTATTAAAAGGTATAGTCATTCCATGGCATGTAGTCACAAAATAGAAAAATAAATTATTGCTAATGGGTACCTAGCAGTGGGACACTTTACTGAAGTGTCTATTAAAGATGAGACTCTGGGAAACACATGTCTGTTGCCATAGAGAATAAAGTGTGCTAGTAATTCAAAGACCATGGGTCAGAGTGGCCATTTATAAAAGATAACACAGCCTTGAAAATATTGTGTGATAAATCCTTGAGATAATCTCTATCTGTGCTAAATAGACCTCTATCTGTCACAGCCATAGGGCTGATTAACCAAAACCCAAATGCACAGTTTGTTCCCACTGATTGGGTGGATAGCATTGATTGCACTCACAGTCTTGCCAGATGCTTACTTTAACAGTTAGGACATGCTCAGGGAAAAAGTGAGAAGGAATGAGATCCTTAGAATCATGTATTTGAGAATTTCAGAAGATGTGATACAACCATACACTTCAACTCATCCTCTTATCCCTTACAAGTAACCGTTTATTACCTAGTTGATTAGGCGGTATCTCCCTTTCCAGAAAATTTTTCAAAATCTATGCTTGGGTATCCACCCAAGAGACCTTAATTTAATTGATTTGGAGTGTGACTTGGGCATTAATAATTTTTACAAGCCTCACAAGTAACTATAGTGTGCCTCAATGGTTGAGATTCATGGACTCAGAGGGTTTTTGTTTGTTTGTTTGTTTTTGTTTTTCCTAATGAGCGAACTGGAATAGCTGGGAGCAGTTTTAATTGCTTTCTTCCCTGCTTGGTTGGTTGACTGAAACCCAATTCACCTATGGTGCTGAGCAAATTAAGTTGAGACGCCAAACATTCTTTAATATTAGCAAAGGAAAGAATACAAAGAGTATGGAGGATGGGAATGCTGGAGTGATTTTAACATATGTGACATGTACATTCTTTTCTGAAATTTATAAGTTTTTGCAAGTCATTGCATTTCTTCTTTATAAAATGAGTTAATAAAGTTACTTTTCTCCTGGGTCTATTGTGAGAATTAAATAGTATATATTGTATATGTCTATATAAATAATATATGTGGATTACATATGTATAAATATATTGTAAATTATAATATTTCTAACTATTAGCAATAGTCATGCTAATGCACATAATAAAAATGATGAAAAGCCCCAAGAGAAAAAGTGGACAACTTTTTATCAGGACCTTAAGAAATATATTGGGGAAGGTTACGTCAACATCATATTGAGAAATATTTTAGGCCAAGGATTTCAATAAGCATGAAAGAGAATCCTAAGGTGTTAGAAGGAAAGTAATAACACTTAACTGCCAGAGGTACGATTGAAATAATTACCATAATAAGCAATAGAGACAGAATGGTAAATTCAAATTACGATTCACATTGACTTTTGTTTTGAGCTAATTGGTCTTGTAGTCAATTAGAATAAAATAGATGTCTTACAAGGTCATACTTATTTATAATAAACAACAAGAAAAGAATCAGGTAAGAGGGTTAGATCTGGCTTTGAGCCACTGTGGCAGACAATCATGGTTTCTTACTCAATTCTCAGATCCAGCATAATGACTTATGGCTATTTATCAATTTCACATTGCACTATGAAAAGAAAATACCTTAATGTTTCCCAGATATTGACATTAATTTCTGGAGAACCAAAGACCACTACTTGCTACTTTCCACTGGTTAAAATAATGGAGTATGGCAATTGGATCCAACAGAATACCAAGCATCTTGCTTTGAAATTTCCTGAGTATTCAGCCTAGGTATCTTCATCAAATGAAGGGTTTGACCTACTGGCTTTCTGATTCCTTCAAGAAATTCTACATGTAAGTAAAGAGGTAAGAGGATGATTGGTTGACACAAACAGTTTTGGGAAAGACATACTTAAAAATTACCATTTGGCATAAATACAGAGTAGGATAGTATTTACCTATTTGAATGATTACTAAAAATTCCCCAATAAAGAGGGAAAAATGGCCTTCCTGTGGATTCAAGTTAGCCATTTTTTCCACAGCTAGCTCAATTTTACCCAATGAAATCATTAACTACATGTATATATTGACAGAGGTGGAGATCGTGTGAGGTGGACGGCATCCCCTGCCTTATCCAAGGTGAAACTGGTTATTGTTTTAAAGTTACTTAATAGTCCAGCAGCAGTGACCAAAGCAAAGCAGCTGATAGAATATCATATTCCTCTACAAAGAAGAGATAGTTGATCGCTTTGGACCCATGCCATCATAAAGAGGCTTTTTAATTCTATCATGTTGTTAAGTGTAGGATATTTTACATATATTATGATATCCCACACAGCAGCACTACTTAAAAATAGTAACTCTGCAGTGAACAAAGTAAGGCAATAGCTTATGCCCATGGAATGCACTGCTTAATTCATGTTCTAATTCACTCAGATGATGCCAAATCATGAAAAAAGAGAAATGTTACATTTAAGATTCCTTCAAAGTTTGGGATGACATCTTGAAGAATGAATTGCATGCTCTGGACAAACTGGTGCTGTTTTTTTCATATCCCAAATACTATAGGTACATAATGGAGCAGAAATGTAGCTGATACATTTTATGATTTTCTCCAGTGATTTCTTTCCAAAATTATTACCTCCTCTTCCAGCATCTAGGGGTGCTATAGAGTTAAATGTTTTAGCAATTAGAAGGGTAATGTTTCAAATAGGAGACAATAGGATTCCTTTTAATTTAGAAGAGAAGATTCTACCTAGTTCTTTTGGTACTTTCATCTCTTAAATACGCATGAAAAAGAAAAACTAGAAGAGGGTGTTACCATTGTCTCAGGAGCAAGTCTGGCTAAAATCAGGGACAGCGTAGGACTGTAACACTGGCCGTAAGAAGTATGAAGAGGAGAAAAGGGAACGTCTTGAGGTCTTCCTTTATTCTACCAATGACTAGTGCAAAATGTCATGGAAATAATTCGCCTTTATACAGAGACCCTAACAAAAAGATATCAGTTATCTCAGCAATGAAAGTTTCAGTCACTGTATTACGTGAAAAACTTAGGCCACCTGGGTGTTGCTTGAAAACAAAGAGAATGTAGAAAGGGGTGAGAGGTTCAGCACCATAAAGCAAGGCTATAGGTTTGTAATCAACTGCAGAAATGAGGACTTTTTGACACTCATAGATCATCTTCTCTTTAGTTTCGTGTATATATTACATACTTGAGGTAATTTCTTTTCTTTAAACAGAAATAGATAAGTATGTCACCAAGAAATATGGGGCATGTACCTGGACATGCTATTGGGTCCTTTGATGATACTTTGGGTATTTTTCCTTTGGGTAAGGGGAGTAAGCATATGTTGGGTTGAGTGTGGCAATATGTTATGGACAATAAATTTTATTTTTATTTCAGAAGTATTACAGGAAAAGGAATATATTAGATTTGGGGGTGGAAACAGATTAAAATGAATTGAATCTTGTAATAGATTTTACTATGGGTTCCAAAATTTGTAAACTTTCTGAATTTTGCAGTGATTCTACACAAAATGAGGACTGATGAAACATAAAAGCTATCATCTAATACAACAGCTAGGAAGTCTACTTGTTTGTTCTAACCACACACCCACATTCACGCACCAGCGCAAATTCCAGAGAGCTACAGACAAATGACAGACTCAATCTGCTGATCCTACTCAGGATTTTTAACCTGGAACAAGCAATTTAAAGAAGCAGATTTGAGAACTAGTCCTTCTAGTGGAAATACAATAGCAGCATAAGCTGTATTCAGCAATGGGAGTCAGTGATGTTCAAAATGACATTAGCATCTGCAGAGGCAGGGGCTTCCACAGAATGTTTTCTTTAGGTGACTTTGTCTGTGTTCCCTGCCATCTAAAACTTCTAAATTTGGGCCAATTTTTTGAACATGAGTTTTATCTTCCCAATTATTCTGAGATCTACCAAATATCATCTAACAAAGTATTTATATGTCTAAATTAACGGGAGTAAAATTAAGAAGTTTGCCATGTGATATAAATATAAATGTACATAGGGTGAAATGAATCCTGATGTTGGTAAAAGGCATTTAGCACTTTGGGAGGCCAAGGGGTGGATCGCCTGAGGCCAGGAGTTTGAGAACAGCCTGGCCAACATGGTGAAACCTCATCTCTACTAAAAATACAAAAATTAGCCAGGGGTGGTGACACGCACCTGTAGTCCCAGCTATTTGGAGGCTGAGGTGTGGGAATTGCTTGAACCCAGGAGGTGGAGGTTGCAGTGAGCTAACCTCAAACCTCAAACCAGAGCAAGACTCTGTCCACCCCCCTCCCTCAAAAAAAAAAAAGCAACATAGCAACAACAGTAAAATACTTCAATTGTGATTGACCTTGGAGATATACACTGGGACTGCTTCCTTTTCTTAGAAGAGTGAGCTGAAGGTTAGAAGTGATAGAATTTACTTAAAATGAGTAACTAAAAATAACAAATTGAGCATTTACAATGTAGTAAGAAGGGACCCGGCTGAGTACTTCAAATGCATCATTTTGTTTAATCCTAAAAAATATTTTGAGAAAGTTATTATTTTTATATAAATTTATTATTTATTTTAGACTGGGTATTTTATTTTTCTTAGCTTATCTGCTGTAACTCTTAAAGGTGTTGTTTTAGTAGCTGCATTAGGATTTATGCTCCACATTTCAAACTTTTTAAAGTCTCCCATCAAGTGATATTATAGTAATTCATGTAAAATATGAGAATTGTATGTCATATAAGGTTTGGTCTTTTGACTTTGTGTTTTTAAGCTTTGTTGGGGGAACAATAGTATACTTTATTTCTCTTCTCTTAGCCTTTGTGCTATGGTTGTTGTGCACTTTTATACATATGTTATAAACCCCATAATACATTTTTATTATTTTAATTTAAAAAATCAATGATCTTTCATAGGGATTTAAATAATAAGAAAAAAAATTATCACTCCTATAGCTACCAGCTCTGGTGCTCTTCACTACTTTTGTAGATACAGACTTTCATCTTGCATAATTTTCTCTCTGCCTGTAGAATTGCACTGAACATTTCTTATTCTTGGGACTAGAATTATTAAATTTCTTTCTTTTTTGTGTCTGAAAAAGTTCCTGCTTTTGTGTTTGAAAGATATTTTCATTGATATAGAATTCTGGATTGATGTATTTTAGAAATCTCGATCATTGTTGTATACCAAAGAACTTTTTCTTGCCCAAGAAGAAATCTAGTTTTTGATCTCCACTCATGAAAAGTAGCATCTAAACCTTTGGAACATCCTGCTGAAAACTGTCTTTGTTTAGCTGGGAGCATTGGGCAATGCCCATTATTCTGACAATGTAATTTATGGTGGGAGCTGTAGTTTATGCAGTATCAGTTTGATCTCTGGAGGGGCTGTGACTTGAAGTAATCCATGTGAGCAGTTAACCATGTCCCCATGATCAAGTTTCAGTAAAGTCTTTAGACACCAATGAGCTGGGGAGCTTTCTTGGTTGGCAATACTCTTCATGTTCATTGTAACACAACATTGACAGGAAAGGTAGCATTGTATGCAAATTCTCTGGGAGAGGACAATTCCATGTGTGGAACTTTCCTGGACTCTTCCCCATGCATCTCTTCTTTTATTTTCATCTTTTTGTTGTTGTTGTTGTTGCTGTTGCTGTAATAAACCATGACTATGTTAAGTACAAGAGCTCTCTGTGAGTTTTGAGTCCACTATGTAAATTATCAAAATTGAGGGTCATCTTGGGGACTCCCACACTTGAAATTGGTGTCAAAAGTGAGGACAGCCAGTGATTTGAAATATTTTCAAATTTTACAACTGTCTTCTGGTTGCATTGTTACATGAAGATTTGTTGCTATTTTTATCTTTTTTTCTCTGTATGTCATGTTTTTTACCTTTGTTTGCTTTTACGCTTTCCTCTCTTTTTACTGGTTGTAAGCAATGTGGTCATGTATATTTCTTCTATGTTCCTTGTGTTTGTGCTTAATAACTTTTTGATATGTGTGTTTATAGTTTCAACAAATTTGGGTTATTTTTAGACTTTTTTTTTTTTTAAAAAAGGTTTTTTGTTCCCCCCTTGTTTAGGGACTCTAATTAAATATATCAGGCCACTTGGCATTGTCCAAATAACTTATGTTTTGTTCTTTTTTTAAAGTAGTTTTCTTTCCGTGTTTAATTTTGGGTTGTTTTTATTGTTACTTCTTTAAATTCACTACTCTTTTCTTATGTAATATCTAATCTACTGTTAATCTCATCCTGTGTATTTTTCATCTCATACTTTGCACTTCTAGAGATTACTTTGGTTTATTTCACATGTTCCATGTCACTACTTAACATCATCAATTCTTTTCTTCTAGCTTCTTGAACATATATAACATAGTTTTATAATTTTTTTAATGCCCTTATTAACTAATTCATCATTTATTTTATTTCTGGACCCATTTTGAGTTGTCACTTTGTATCTTTATTGCATGGCTAGTAACTTTTTTACTTTATGCCAGACTTTGCAATCTATCTTGTTGGGTGCTAAGTATTTTGCATTGTTATACATATACTTGAGTGTTTTTTTTTGTTTTATATATTATTTATTTATTTATTTGTTTTTTGAGACAGGGTCTCACTCTGTCACCCAGGCAGAAGTGCAATGGCATGATCTTGACTCACTGCAGCCTTAACCTCCTGGGCTCAAGCGATCATCTCACCTCAGCCTGCTGAGTACCTGGGATTACAGGCACACGCCACCATACCCAGCTAATTTTTGTTTTTTGTTTTTTGTAGAGAAGTGGTTTTGCTATGTTACCCAGGATGGTTTTGAACTCCTGAGCTTAAGCAATCCTCCCACCTCAGCCTCCCAAAGTGCTGGAATTACAGGCGTGAGCCACTACACCCAGCCATACTTGAGTTTTTTTGGTCTGGAATACAGCTATGTGATTTAAACTCAATTTGATTATTTCACTTCTTGGTTATTTTTTTGAGATGGAGTTTCACTCTTATTGCCCAGGCTGGAGTGCAATGGTGCAATCTCAGCTCACCGCAACGTCCACCTCCCGGGTTCAAGCGATTCTGCTGCCTCGGCCTCCAGAGCAGCTGGGACTACAGGCATGCGCCACCACGCCTGGCTAATTTCTATTTTTAGTAAAGATGGGGTTTCTCCATGTTTGTCAGGCTGGTCTTGACCTCCCGACCTCAGCTGATCCATCCGCCTGGGCCTCCCAAAGTGCTGGGATTACAGGCTTGAGCCACTGAGCCCAGTCTCACTTCTCGGTTTTAAGCTTTGTTGGGTGGGGCAAGAGTAGCGTTTAGTGGAGGATAATTTTATCTCACTATTGAGGAAAAAAATTTTGGATGCCCCATAAATTGTGAGAATTTCCACTGTGGTGGGTGGTAACAAGAACTAGTCTATGTCCTTTACAGGAAGGGAGCGTACTCCTGTTCAGGAAGAGCACTGCTGATCAGTATTTTTCTGAAGACTCATACAAAACTCTGTGCAGAATTCCAGCACTGTCTCTCTGTGCAGCTCTCTTTTCTTCGTGTTCTACTCTGTGAATCCTAGCAGCCTTAACCTCTCAAACACTAAGCTTTATCTTCTCAATTCAATGGGGCTACTCAAAGACTCCTCTCCCTGTGCCAAAGACAAGAAATTCTCTCAAGGGTGAAAGCTTGAATAATCATAGTGCTCATTTTATTTTATTTCTATCTCTCAGGGACTACTGCCTTTTGCTGTTTAAGACTTTTGTTGCCTAAGAGTACTGCCTTTTCATATCCATTGCATGGAATAATTGATTTAATACATTTTGTATATTTTTAGTTATTTCAAGTGTGAAATATAGCCAGTCCCATTTTTTAATGTTTAACAAAAGTGATAGTCTATAATTTTAAATATATTTTAAAAACAATTTTGTACATACTTTAGTAATGATGCACCAACAGGTTAAAGAGTTTACACAAGATTATAGGGCTAAAAAGAAGTTATAAGGGGTTCAAACCCAGGGTATCTGACTTACATTTAAAACTTGACGTTTTATTTTCAAAGAGTGCAGTAAGTTTTAGAGAGTATTAAAATGAAGATTACTGACATATATCATGGTGCTCATTTCACTAGATTATATCATGTTTATCCTCTGAAATAGCATTATTAGTGTTTTTAATGACACTTTAACAGAAAGATGCCATTTGATAAAATTCACCTAATATCCATAGAAGGCACAATGCTCATTCAGCACTCAAAAATCATTATTCCAGCTACTATAATTACCATACTGTAACAGAGTTTTCTCTGGAAATTGGTATAAGTTAAATAACTGGACCATTCTCTCCAGTGCTTACCTGTTTTCAATCTGATAAAGAAAATCAATAGCCAGGTTAGTAAGCAAATATTTGGCAAGCAATGCATTTCTAATAATGAAACTGATAATTATACTTCTTTCATAGAGCTGTAATTGAATGAATTTAATTGCCTCTTCCGTTTAACTTTAATGCTAGGTTTCAAATTGTTGTATGGACAGGAAAGTAACATTAGAAAAATTACTCTACTGTTGCTTTCTTTTCTATACAGTGGTTTGAACTCAAGCAATAAAGTTAAATGAAAAAGGCTCTATACTCAATTTTCAATTATAGTAAAGGCAGGGAGCCACAATTATCCCTTTCATTACCATGATGCTTTTCATTGCTGCCTAGGAAACTTCCTCCCTGTTGTTTTTTGATGCTGCTGTGCTTCTCAAAATGAAGAGCACTTGAAAATGGAAGGTTAAAAGTAAGGAACCAAATCAAAGGGAAAATGTGAAAATGTAAAAATTGACATTATCAAGATGAAATGGTGAAGAAAAATATGTGAATTGATAAATTGACTTTCAGAAACTCTATGGGGGATGGAGAAACTTTGAAAGATTTAACCAATCTTTATTTCAAATTTTGTGATTATAATTTAGCTATCTAAAATTTTAAAATCGTCAAGCAATATTTGTTAATTTCAATTAGAATATTTTCATCAGTTTTCAAATGAACATCTAGTAGTTTTCTACATTATGGTAATTTCTCAAGAAATTAATCCCAAGAGCCTTTAATTAGGCTTTTTCTTCAGTCACTTGTTTCACTGTCTAGTTCCATATATTTATTCTGAATTGTTGTCCATGCTAGTAATATGTCATATTAACTTCTTTATTTTGAGAGTTTTTTATTCTAAACACTAAATTGCTAAGTACTTGTCTTAGTCAGTTCAGATTGCTAAAAAATAATAATTCAGAAGGGCTCCATCCAGTGTCCTCATGGACCTCTCAAAGCTCCACCTCCAAACATCATTATGTTGGAGATTTAGGCTTCAAAATATGACTTTAATGAGGATACATTCAGGTAGCAGTAATTAATAACATTACTCTGCTATTTAAAAATTAACATGGCTAACTGTTAATCAAACTTTTGTCTTAAAAAGTAGCCACAGAGATACAAATTTTAATGATAAAAATAATGAGTAAGAATAATGATGAGTCTTGACTCTTGATTGTCCTTTTCCTGAGAAATCTGAAATTAAGTACCTAGCCCATTAGTTTATTAAACTGGCCTGAATACAGTGAAATGGGAAGTATGGGATTAAAACCCACACAGAACACAAACACACACATGTGCATGCAGCCATCTCATACATACATGTATGCACATTCATGCACTTTGCTAATTATTATAAGTAAAAATTATTCACTCAGATCTACCAGAGATGTGTTAGTACATGATGCTTCTACAAAACAACCAGGGTTTAAGAGGTTATAGTGTATCCCTACAGAAGGGTTTATGCTCAACTCTCTGAGAATTAGCCGAGAATTATCGGGGGAAACTGCCCCCGATAATTCAACGTGGGTCCTTTTCTATTTTTCCTAAGTGTCGGCCAGTCTGAGAAATAAAGGGAAAGAGTACAAAAGAGAGAAATTTTAAAGCTGGGTGTCCGGGGGAGACATCACACATCAGCAGGTTCCGTGATGCCCCCAAGCTGCAAAACCAGCAAGTTTTTATTAGTGATTTTCAAAAGGGGAGGGAGTGTACAAATAGGGTGTGGGTCACAGAGATCACATGCTTCACAAGGTAATAAAATATTACAAGGCAAATGGAGGCAGGGCGAGATCACAGGACCACAGGACTGGGGCGAAATTAAAATTGCTAATGAAGTTTCGGGCACACATTGTCATTGATAACATCTTATCAGGAGACAGGGTTTGAGAGCAGACAACCAGTCTGACCAAAATTTATTAGGTGGGAATTTCCTCATCCTAATAGGCCTGGGAGCGCTACGGGAGACTGGGGCTTATTTCATCCATTATCTGGGAGCGTAAAAGACAGACGCCACCAGAGCGGCCATTTTAGAGACCTCCCCCTAGGAATGCATTCTCTTTCTCAGGGATGTTCCTTGCTGAGAAAAAGAATTCAGCGATATTTCTCCTATTTGCTTTTGTAAGAAGAGAAATGTAGCTCTGTTCTGCCAGGCTCTCAGGTAGCCAGACCTAACGGTTATCTCCCTTGTTCCCTGAACATTGCTGTTATCCTGTTCTTTTTTCAAGGTGCCCAGATTTCATATTGTTTAAACGATTTGTGCAGTTAACACAATCATCACAGGGTCCTGAGGCGACATACATCCTCAGTTTATGAAGATGATGAGATTAAGAGATTAAAGTAAAGAGAGGCATAGGAAATCACAAGAATATTGATTGGGGAAGTGATAAGTGTCCATGAAATATTCACAATTTATGTTCAGAGATTGCAGTAAAGACAGGTGTAAGAAATTATAAAAGTATTAATTTGGGGAACTAATAAATGTCTATGAAACCTTCACAATTTATGTTCTTCTGCCATGGCTTCAGCTGGTCCCTTCATTCAGGGTCCCTGACTTCCCACAACAATAAGTAAAAATTATTCACTCAGATCTACCAGAGATGTGTTAGTACATGATGCTTCTACAAAACAACCAGGGTTTACGAGGTTATAGTGTAACCCTACAGAAGGGTTTATGCTCAACTCTCTGAGAAAATACTGAGTACAGATTTAAAAAAATAAAACTCATAGTATGGAAATCTTTCTTCTAAAGATAATCATACTATTTTATTGTTGTCTGTGAAAATACGTGCATGCACATAAAGCTTTACATGTACTTGCTAAGAATTATTTTTACCATTTAAAGTATGATGGAAGTAGCCTCAAATTATTTAAGAGGGTTAATTAGCACAGATTGAAAGTGAAGCTGGAACACAGAAACTATGCCTTTTAAACTATTAAGCTAATAATTAACCCAGAGAAATTATCTATTTGGTGACACAGTTTTAATAATGTTATGAGACACATAATTTACATATTTTTTTTTGTTTCTGGTCTGTTATTAATTATTTTCTGTTTTAATAAGAAGGTCAGAGAGGGTTTGTCTGTTACATTTTAGCTGAAAATTAAAATTTTGCTTTCTTTTTTCATATAACTTAAGCATAACATTGTTTCATATGAGAATAATTTGCAATATCAGATCCCTGGCTATCCTCAATCATTTCTACGAAAAATTCCAAATTATTAAGATTAATTATAAATGTTTAAGTATTCAATTTAATATGTATAGTATTTATTTCAAAATTAAATGTTAATATTTACCTAGTATCATTTTATTTCTTATACATTTTAAATTACTTATATAATAAAATATGCAAATAACTCCTTACTATCAAAGCTCATATAACAACTTAAATATTTCAGGGAAAAAGTTGGCATGAAACACATTTCTGTTTCATTTAAAAATAGATAATATTGGGATGGCATCTCTTATTCTTCTTAATTTACACATTATGGTTCTTACATCATTCAAAGTTTTATGAGTATAATTTGGCAAATTGTTTTAATAAAGACAGATATAATAGTTCCCAAGCCACATGCTTTTTTGCAGTGTTACCTTCCAATTTACCCAGAGCTGGATGGAATCTATATCTTCTCTAATTTTAGCAGGCCACTTACTGCTTTGACCAAAGAATATAATGGAAATTTGTGTCAGCGCTGGTTATAGCCATTCACCAGCCTGGGAACCAAATAGATTTATGTGAAACTCAAGTATTCTAGTTTTCTAAAGAATAATCTTAAAAGTCCATAGCATTATGGAAAACAAAATATAAAATAAATGAGGATGATTTTTAGGTATATTTTATTTGTATTTTAAAGCAGTAATTATTTACCATCTTTTAATTAAACTCGTTTACTTAATGATATCAATTTTTTCCTGATTTATTAAGAAATGATGGACAAAAGAACATTGTATATATTGAAGGTGTACAGTGTGATTTAATATACCTACACATTGTGAAATAAATACCACAATCAAGCTAAGCGGTGGTGCATGGTGGCTCACACCTCTAATCTCAGCACTTTGGGAGGCCGAGATGTGCAGATCACCTGAGGTGAGAAGTTAGAGACCAACTTGGCCAACATAACAAAAGATAACAAAACCCCACCTCTCCAAAAAAAAAAAATTAGCTAAGACTGGTGGCGCACACCTGTAATTTCAGCTACTCGGGAGGCTGAGGCACAAGAATCACTTGAACCCAGGAGGCAGAGATTGCAGTGAGCCGAGATCATGCCACTGCTCTCCAGCTTGGGTGACAGAGGGAGACTCTGTCTCACAAAAAAAAAAAAAAAAAGAATGAAAAAGAAAAATCAAGCTAATTAATATTCCCATAATATTCCCATTGCCTACATAGTTACCTTTTAAAATTTTGTATGCTTTAGATATCTCTCTATTTCTCCCACCACAAGCATTTTCTATCTATACTTTGTACTTTCTGTATGAGCTTCATATGAGATCATGCAGTATTTGTCTTTCTGGGCCTGGCTTATTACACGCAACATAATGTTCTCCAGGTTCATCCATGTTGCACCAAATGACAGAATTTTCTTCTTTTCTAAGGCTAAATAATGTTCCACTGTGTGTGTTTGTCTATGTCTTACATTTCTTTAGACATTCATCTGTTTATAGTTATTTAGATTGTTTCCATATCTTGACTAGAGTGAATAATCCTGCAATGGATATGGGGTGAAGACATCTCTCTGACATATTTGTTTCATTTCCTTTGGGCAAACATATCCAACAGAGGATTGATGGCTCATATGACAGTCCTATTTTTAACTTTTTTTTTTTTTTTTGATGGAGTCGTGCCTCTGTTGTCCAGGCTGGGGGACAGTGGCTTGATCTAGGCTCACTACAAGCTCCGCCTCCCAGGTTCACGCCATTCTCCTGCCTCAGCTTCCCGAGTAGCTGGGACCACAGCCACCTGCCACCATGCCTGGCTAATTTTTTTTTTTTTTTGTATTTTTAGTAGAGACCGGTTTCACCCTGTTAGCCAGGATGGTCTCAATCTCCTGACCTCGTGATCTGCCCTCCTCGGCCTCCCAAAGTACTGGGATTACAGACATCACACCCGGCCTATTTTTAACTTTTTAAGGATCCTCCATTGTGTTTTTTTTTTTTTTTTCTTAATGGCTATACTAATTTACATTTCCACCAACAGCATACAAGGGCTCCCTCTTCTCCACATTTTTTACATTTGTAATATTTGACTTTTTATATTAGCCATAATAAAATATATTTCATTGTGATTTTGATTTTCATTTCCTGGTGATTAGTGACGTTGAGCACCTTTTCATATAACTTAGGCCATTTGTATTTTTTTCCTGTGGAAAAACTTCTGTTCAGGTCCTTTGCTCAATTTTTAGTTGGGTTATTTGGGTTTTTTGCTATTAAGTTGTATGAGTTCCTTGTATGTTTTGGATATTAACACCTTATTAGATACATGGCTTGCAAATATTTTCTTCCATCCCTATGATGAAAGGATGTTACAATGTATGCAAATCAATAAATGTGACATACCACATTAGCAAAATAAAGGATAAGAATCATATAATCATCCCAAAAGACGCAGAAAATGTACTTGACAAAATTTAACATCTTTTCAAGATAAAAATTCTCAACAAATTAGGTATGGAATGAATGTACCTCAGTATGAGAAAGGTCATGTTTGGCAAGCCCACAGCCAATATTATTGTCAATAGTGAGAAGCTAAAAGCTTTTCCTCTGAGATCAGGAACAAGACAGGGGTGTACATTCTCACCACTTCTCTTCAACGTAGTGCTGAAAGTCCTAATCAAAGCAATTAGGTAAGAAAAATAAATATTGAAATTAGAGACGATAAAGTAAACTGACTCCATTTGCAGACAACATAACATTATATATAGGAAACCCTATATAGTCCCTAAAAATTGTTAAAACTAATAAATGAATTCAGTAAAGTTGCAGGATACAAAAGCAACATACAAAAAATCAGTTGTGTTTCTATACAATAAGAAGCTATCCAAAAAATTAAGAGAATAATCATTTACAATAACATCAAATATAATAAAATATATAGGAATAAATTTAACCAATGAGGTGAAAAATATGTTCACTGAAAAATATGAAACTTTGATGAAAGAAATTGAAGAAGTTACAAATAAATGGAAAGATCTGTTGTGTTCATGAATTCGGAGAGTTAATATTGTCAGAATGTCCATATTACCCAAAGTAATATACAGATTCAATGCAATCCCTGTTAAAATTCCAATTGCATTTTTCACAGAAATAAAGAAAACAGAATCTTAAAATGTATATGGAATCCCAAAAGATCCCAAATAGATAAAACAATCTTGAGAAAGGAAAACAAAGTTGGAGGCATTACACTTCTTAATTTCAAATTATATTACAAAGCTATAGTAATAACAGCAGTATGGTTTTGACATAAAACATCCACACAGGCCAATGAAACAGAATAAAATGAAATTAAACTCTTATCTTACACAACACAGAAAATTAAATTGAACTTCTATCTTACATACTGAAATTAAACTCTTATCTTACACAACAGTGAAATAAAACTCCTATGCAACACACAAAAATGAACTCAAAACAGTAAGACCTGAAACTATAAAATTCCTATAACACAGGAGAAAATATCTTTGACATTGGTCTTGGCTATGATATGACACCAAAAGCACAAACAACAGAAGGAAAAATAAACAATTGGGGCAGCATCAAACTTAAAATTTCTGCATAGCAAAGGAATACTTTTAAATGAAACATAAATAATGAATAAAACCATGACATGTTGCAAATATGGGAATTATAAAACCTATACGCTAAGCACTTGAACAATGCAAAATTATACAACCAGTAGTCATCAACTATACAATACTTAAAATCAGTTGGCATAAATAATAATTTAGAAATACCACTTAATCCAGCAATTCCATTACTGCGTATATATTCAAAGGAATATAAGTCATTCTATTATAAAGACACATGCACACAAACGTTCACTGCAGCACTGTTCACAATAGCAAAGACATGAAATCAACCTAAATGCCCATCAGTGATAGACTGGATAAAGAAAGTGTGGTATATACACACGGTGGAATACTATGCAGCCATAAAAAATAACAAGATCATGTCCTTTGCAGGGACATGGATGGAGCGGGAGGTCATTCTTCTTAGCAAGCTAACACAGGAACAGAAAGCCAAATACTACATGTTCTCACTTGTAAGTGGGAGTTAAATGATGACAATTTATGAACACAAAGAAGGGAACAACAGACACTGGGATCTACTTGAGTGGAGAGGATCAAGAGTGGGGGGCAGAAGAGGATCAGGAAAAATAACTAATGGGTACTAGGCTTAATATCTGTGTGATGAAATAATCTGTGTAACAAACCTCCATGACACAGGTAACCTATGTAATAAACCTGCACTTTTACCCTGAACTTAAAAGTTAAAAAAATTAAAATAATATGTATCAGAATACCTGCTGATAAAATTTTAGAAAACTATTATATAGCTGAGAGCAGAAATGTACCAATTATTAATAGCTGAATAAAAGAAATATTCATAAACATAGAGGCTGAAACCACAGTAAGTACATAGTAGCTCATAGTTACTGTAGCTTAGAGAATCAGGAGCAGCTTAACTGGGAAGTTCTGTCTCAGTGTCTCTCTTAAAGTTGCAGTTAAATTGAATTGTTAGCTGAGATAACAAACATGATGAAGGCTGAAGATCTGCTTCCAAGGTGGCTCACTGACATGGCTGGCAGGTTTTTGCTGGCTATTGGTAAGACCCTCAACCTACCAACAGTTTAGTCCCATATGGGTCTTCCTCAGGGTTGAGTGTCTTCATTACTTGGTAACAGGCCCCCACTGTGAGCAATCATGAATGAGAAGAAGGAACAGCAGCATCAATGCCATTTATATTCTACTCTTGACAATCATACAATATCATTTTTGCCATATTATATTTACTTAGAGACACAAAGTCCAGCCTACATTCAAGCTGGACTTTGTGTCCACATTTTAAAAGGAAGGATACCAAAGAATTTTTGGATATACTTTAAAACTACCACAAGAGGTAACCCAATTTGATTTCATCATCACTTAAAAAATTAATTGAAGCAAAGTCCTTGGCTTACAGTTTATGCATGTTAAATTGAAAGAGGAACAGATTTAAAAACAATTGTAGAGTTTCTATGTGATGTTTGCCTCTCTAGATAGTTTTAAGTAGATGTACTCTCATAATTCAAGCAATTCTCATTGTAATATTAATATGTTAACTAACATATAAGAATAATACTAAGAAAGCACACCACATTTTTTTCTACTGTGTTTATATATAAACAGGGGCTGGCACTACTGATTGTGAGTTTAGGTAGTTGATTTCTCTATATTTTAACTAAACACAGCTTATTATTATCCAAATGAAAAGGAAGTAATTTTTAATGTGACACTAATCTTAATCTTAAAAGTTTTGATATGTTATTTAACACAACAAACTGAAGCAGTCTATTTCCATATTAAAACATTATTTTATTATTAATATTTAATAATCTTTCAGTAGAGTAGAGAACAAGTAAAGTCATTAAAGAATTTAAATTCAGTATTTGCCACTCATAAACTTGTTTGGAAGATAATTTATTTGTATCCTAGTTTACTTACCTGTATAAGAGGATAAAAACATCACCTATTCTATGAGGCTGTTGTGAGGCTTAAAAGTCTCAGAAGAGTATAAACATGTAGCAAGTAATCAATAAATTTAAGCTATTATAGTTATTAAAAACAATAAGTATTCTTATAATAAGGGTTTCTTAATTATTTTGATTTTGAAATAGCGAAATAACCTCCAGTTCAGGATTTTTTCTTACGATGCAAGTATCTATTTAAAAGAGAAAAACAGAAAAGGAAAAAACAATCAAATTTCCTCTGGGTTTTCAGGCCTCTATATTGAAGTTTTCAGTGTTTTATCTGATCATCAGAAATCCACGTAACTAAACTGCATTGCAGAGATGATTTTGTAATTATGAAGAAAATGACAGGTAATGAATTGAGGAAACAATCTCCTATGAATTCCTAGTGATTACCTCCATTGTTTTCTTAAATCCTAAGCAGATGAACATCCCCATAAGAACTATTAATGAGTATTCATTACACTTTATGAAGGCGTTCCCATGGTGAACTCAACACCAATAGCTTTAGGTTCTCAGGTAAGAAAGAGGGGCCTCTGGAGGAAACTTATACTTAGCGTTTCTGAGCTACAATTGTTTTCCTATTTTATTTATATCCACTTCTTTTCTCCCTCCTGTGAGAGAATTAAACAGCAATTCCACTCACTGGGGCAATTAGCTCATTATTCACTGCATTTCAAATGAAATATTGACATTAAACAGGCCCCTTTAATCATTACATTGCCCATAACTAGCATCTATATTGTTCTTGAAGAAAACACCTTGCTCTCTCTGGAATGCCTCCATTATTACACTTATACTTTTCTCAGAAAGAAGTAGCACCACAATTTTTATTACACATCCACTGCAAGTCTCACTTTTTATAATTGTTTCTTCCCCCTTCAATTCAGTTTCCTGTAGATAGGACTGACAGACTAGAGTAACCCAACATGGTAGCTTATTTTTAACCTTGATATTTTTATTTGATAGAGCATAAATCTATACTGCTTTTGCCTCCAAGGTATGCATTATACTGTATCCTAGCATTTAAAAAAAAAAACAAACTTCCATGCTGCAAGAACTAACACAAGAAGAGAATATATATATATACCCACATACATATATATACATATATATACACACACATATATATACATATATACACATGCATATATACATATATATTACTTTAAGTTCTAGGGAACATGTGCACGTGAGGAATGTATCACAAAATATCATAATTTTCTATACTACACACTCTCTAAAGAAGTGATTTTGATAGTTATAATGCTTGGGGCATGATAATGAGTGTGGAAGTAGTTAGAGAGAGGCAAAGAAATTAACACCAATTGAGTATATTTCCATCATTGCTCAGTAACATTTTCTATTTTGTGTCTTGTTCCAAGTTTATTATAATATATTTTTCTTATTACAATTTTGTGCACTAGGAAATCAACTAAGGGATTTAAGGCTGCTAAATGTGATGCCATTAATTCTAAAAACTTTGGTAGAATGCTGGCATTTTGCATACTTTTTAGCAATTAAATAATTCAAATGTTCTGGGTGGCAATGAAGAAAACTGAAAACCTAGTCTTACTATCTTATTCCTAACCACTTTTTCTCATTTTTATTTGAGCAGATTTTTACTCTAGCTTTTTCAGAACATTTTAAATACCCCCAAATGAAAATTGCCATCTTTCTATATCTCCTAATATAAATAATTTAGCAAAGTTTAAATCACAATCTTTCCCCCTCTGATGAATCAATTTTGATTATTCCTAATTAGATCATCTTTCTTGATGTATTTCTTTAAAATAGCACAGAAAATAATTTCTACTGTTTTTTACCCATGGTTAATGAAAGTTTAACCTGCCCATAATTAACTGCTGTATTCTATGCCCTGCTTTCTAAATAATCATGCTGTGTTTGCTTGAAATTATTCACTGGAGTATTTCTTAAAATAATCAAAGAAAATGTTTCAATTTTCTTTTCATTTTTTTTCAAAGCTTTATTTATATCTATGAATTGGACATAAAATCATTAACTTGTAATAAGTTTAAACTTTTGCTGACTTTGTAGAGCTGTCCCTCAAGTAATACGCTTTCATATAAAGAATGCATCCTATGATCAAGGTTACATAGATTATTTGTAGTAAATCTCAAACAACAACACAAATACCCTGATTCAAGATCAAGGTACTTACTATTAAAAAAAATGCTTTCTATTCAGTTGTCCAACAAAACATACATTTGAAAACAATAGCTCTAAGGATCTCCTCTAAATTATGAGAACCACATATTATGAAAAGTGATGATCAGCTCCATTTTTTCTTCCTTTTTAAAGCTTTCATTGTACTACTCCACGTTAGACAAACCTAGACTCTAATTTTTAAGTTGTTAACAGATTGGAATTAGTTTCAATTGTAACTATGATAAAGAGTCTGTCTCCATTTACATATTTAACTGCTGATAGCTTTCAAGCTACACTTCTCTCTCTGCCCCTCTTTGTTTCACATATGGGCAAGATGATAAGATAGTCTGGTATCTCACTCCTTTGGTGCTGGAGGGAAGTTCAAATCATGTGAGGCCTCACCTGGAGGAGGAAACCTCACCACAGACCTATTCCTTAACAATTTGCACCACTTTCAGGTCTCAAGCTGTATTTCAGATCAGTTTGGGAGTCTGCCTACTCTTCACAGAAAGCCCCATGATTTGAATAATAAAACTTTTAATATTCTTGATGCATAAGTGGCATTTTCATTTTTAACATCTAAATCAAATTTTAGATGGGACTTGATCCCACTCTTTGTGAGGCAACAACAAGACATGTAACAAGAAAAATGGTCAATTTATCACATTTCTATATATGTCCTAGTGTTAGAGAAAATCAGTAGACTCTATCACAGGAATCACAAACACAAATTTCTACTGAGGACACTGAGGTTCAGTAAATATGTGAGGTAGAATATGGCATACCTGATTATCTATGAAACAACATCTAGGCATCTGTCATCGTCCAGGTGGGAGTTTAATGTTAGGTTTTCTAATTTTCTCTAAGTTATGAAAAAAACTTAACATACGTTCTTAAGTTCAAGATTTACTATGTAAAGTTACATTAATCAAGAGAGTGGCTTAAGGGTAGATATACCAATCAATGAAACAGAAAAAGAGTCTACTAAATAAATACAAACAATGGTCAATTAAATTTTGACAAAAATGATAAAGTCATTTAATAAGAAAAAGATGTTTCAACCTATGGTGCTGAAATAACTTGATATCTTTGTAAAAAAAAAAACTATGAATTTAGACCTTTACTTACAATGTATGCAAATTAAGTTACAATGGATCACAGAACTAAATATAAGAGGTAAAACTATAGACTATTGATGAAATCAAAATTGAGTTAAAGATTTCTTAAATAAGATACAAAGTGGAAACAATAAAATAAAAATTAATAAAATAGTCATAGTCAACATTTTTAAAAACAAATTTTTGTTTCTCAAAAATTATTTTTAAGAAAACATAAAGGTAAAAGATAAAATTTTTGAAAATGTGAAACATAAATCTGACAACTGACTTGTATTGACAAATAAATGAACACTTCTTATATCTCAATAAAATAAGATAAAACAATAAATACATTTGCAAATGTAAAGGAAAAAGTTTTTTCTAGATACTCCAAATGACAAGCCGTATTAATGGCCAATGCAAAAAAGATGTTGAGTGCCATTAGACATAATTAATCAACATTATTAAAATCATAATGAAATACTACAATATACCCGTTAGGTTGACTAAAATTACAAAGACTGACAATAACAAGTGTTGACAATTTGTGAAGAACTGAAACTCTCAACCATTGCTGGTAGAAATGTAAAGTAATATATCCACTTAAAAATAAAAAAAGAATGAAGTTATATCCTTCTGCAGCAACAAAGATGCAGCTGGAGGCTATTATTCTAAATGAATTAACAGAGTAACAGAAAGCCAAATACTGCATGTTCTCACTTATAAGTGGGAGCTAAACATTGAGTACACATGGAAATAAACATGGGAACAATAGATACTGGGAACTACTAGTTCCCAGTAGGAGGCTATTCCAATCCTTCTAGTGATTCATCCTTTATGACACCGAAGCACGTTTATTTTAGTGTTTATTATGTATGTCTAAATTTTATTTGATATTTCACTGTAATATGATAATTTAGTTAAACTAATTACTCTAATGCGCAAAGTGGTTTGATTGGATTGAAATGATTTGTGACTGTATGTTGTCAATACACATGCCTATAAAATACATAAATTTACTCAACACATGTGAACACATGTGTGCATGCCTGCATGCACACACACACACATCAATGAATGCAAATTGAGATTAAGTGATTGGAATATAAGAAATATTCAGCCTAGAAAGTATTCATATATAACTTGTGTAATATTCTGAAAAATAAAAGAAGCTCAATTTCATTTAGATTTAACAGGGAAGTGGGAAATACTGAATAATAGATTGCTAAAAAAGTTTAATAATGGACAATATCTAGAAATAAAATTATTTGAATTTATTCCTTTTTCCTTTTGTATTATTTATTAACCAAGTACACTAATACCCTACTTTAATCAATCTATGATACTTAGTGACACATAGCACATGGCTGCAGTACGCTAAGTTCTTTTATGTAATAACACAATTATAAAATATTTTGTTTTTGTAATGTTTTTGGCATAATTTAGATATGTTTTCTTTACAAAGAAAAAATACACGTTACAAAATTATATTGAGTAAATAAAAGATTTACTTTACTTTTAAGAGTTGCTTAGTATTTAATCATATTTTGTCATGACTAAAAAAATTACAGAAAACTGCTTACCTAAATCAAAACGAGAATGGCAATGTAAGCCATGGTCAGTAACAACTTTGGTGTTGATACTGAACAGATATCTGTGTGTTTCAATTAAAAGAAAAATTATTATTCAATTAGTGATAAGAACAGGGCATATGAGCTCTCTGTATACTGAGGAATCTATTCCTGTTATTCTGCAAAGAAACTTAACTGAAGAAAGCAGTGACAAACCATTCACAGGTGGACCCCTGAATATGAAAACTTCTCCTTTCAGCTCAATTCTACAGTCAATGTCCATCATCAGTTGTTAATACCGGAATCCCTTTTTATCTCCATAACAACAATAAAAAGAGAACCTTTCTGTGGGATTCCCTGTTGCATGCACAGGTGCTCATGTGGCCAGGTGTGCACAACAGGAAGGAGTTAAGATGAAGCCATCAGAACGATAACAATCATGCCTTGATGAGTTTTTGTTATTTTAAGACACACCTGCTCCAAGTCAGCAGGATTTCTGAGGAAAATAAGAAATGCGTTGGATGTATCCCAAGGCACATAAAAGATTGAATTCAATTCTGTCTAGCTGATGTTTAGAAATTTACAGCAGTGCTGACTGGGCTAAATGCCTTTCTTGCAAAATTCCAGAAGACACAGTGTTTTATTTGTAAGAGAAAATTACATAGAAGATCCTTTGTTAAAAGTGCACAACCTCCTCCCTGCCATCACCCATCTTTCCTCCCACTTGATTTGAGGTGTTGGACATTTCCAAAGTAGAAATATGATGGGAAGATAAACCGTTATTTGTAATGAAAAACTAGTGTCAGTTCACAATTTTAGGATTGATGATTCGTGAAGTGCTAGTGTTTTAAAACACTAGAGATTTAGAAAGAAAACAGTGCACATATATGCACACACTCAGAAAAAAATCAAGTTAAGTAGTGGTACAATAAATTATTTTTCCATTGTTCTTTATACTTTCCATTATTTACCTAATTTTTGCTGAAGAATATTCACTAGTTTTATAATCAGAAAAAAAGGCAATAAAGGTTTATTGGTATTTGTTGAGGTAGTATTGAAAAATATGGAAATCAGAGCCAGAATCCAATATTTAGAAAATTTAAAATGACTTACAGCCTATTGTAATATATTTTAAAAATTTAATATTTGCTATAATAGCTAGTATTTTAGATTACAATTTTCATGGGAAAACTGTGAAAACATAGCGATCATATGTCAATAAGGCAGATGTCAAATAGGATTTTATTCTAAAATCTTCAGAGAGCTATGTGATTATATATATATAAAAGTATTATATATATAACTGTAAAAACAATCGTGACAAAATATCTACTCTTCAGATTCTCACACATGTAAAAGAACATCTAAAATAAAAACATTAAAGAGGTGTATGTAATGGTAGGAAGCAATGAGGTATGGGATGCAAAAGCAAGGTCCTCATCTTCTAGAGGGTACAAAAAACCTATATATATATATATATATATATATATATATTGCTTCCTACCATTGCTTCCTACTATTGCACACACCTCTTTAATGTTTTTAGTTTAGATGTTCTTTTACATGTGTGAGAATCTGAAGAGTAGATATTTTGTCATGATTGTTTTTACAGTTATATGTATCACTCATGTGATATCACTCGTGATATTATATATGACATATATATGTCATATCACTTGTGATATTATATATCACTCATGTGATATTCCAAACCATGTTTAATGCTATTTGAGAAATATATTTAATGCAAGATAAAATAAGAAATTAGGACATCAATTAGAAGCAAAAAAAAAGGTTAAGGAAAATGAAGTGAACCATAGAGAGGATGTTTGAATAATAAAATGCATGTCTTAATTCCTATCTTTTTTTTTTGGTATGAGATGAAAACTCACATTGACATTTCTAGCAAAGATCACAAAGAGAAGGAAATGCAACCAATTACATGTTATAAGATGACTGTAAAATTAAAACAGCAGCAATTATGATAGCAACACAAACAAGTTGGGTTGTGGCCTAAGAGAACTTCAACTGGTCTCTCCTGCCAGGACTTAAGGATAAAGCAGTTTTCCCTCAGGTTGATGCACATTGGATCAACTAGTTAGTGTTATCAACATTATTTAAATATGCAATCATGGCAAGTAAAAAATGAGGGTCTGAAGTGGTATTTCTTGTGTTAAACTTGGGAAAATCCTAACATATACTTTAGTTTCAGCAGCTCCCTTGGCAAAGATCAGGGAATAGAGGTTAGAAACCACAGGTTTTTGAGGTGTTCGTGGTGATGGTGGTGATTTTAATCATTAAAATAGAAATAATAATGGGACTTACATATTGGGATTGTTCTGAGAATTAATTGAGATAAAGTTAACTCATAATCTGGCATACTAAACAGCAAATAAATATTGGTTATTGTTATTACACAGTGTATGAAATGACAGATTATTTTTCTTGTAGGAAATTAACCAAAAATACTATTTCTTTGGAAGATTCTTTCAATAAGTCTTGTCTGGTACAATGTTTAAGAATATTGTCATGAAATGAATGCATTAAGTACACCAACTCTTTATGATCACTACATGAAAATAAATAGGCTTCATCCAGTAAGCAGCTAAGTTTTGTTAGGGCTTAAATCTGCTTGTGAAAATTCAGAAACCTACTAGCCCATGAGCCTGAATAGAAAGCCACTAATGTCTTCAACCCAATAGAGACTTGAGCCAATGCAACACCTCTTGACAGGAACTAGTGTGAAAATGATTTGGGTCAGCTAATCACATGTATGAATGAACACTTAGTCTATCATATTGTATTCCAGAAAACATGGTCATACTGCCAAAGCCTGGAAAAAATTGAAACGAGGACACCAAATACTTATGCTATAAAAATTACATAATTTACCTGATGTGTATATTGATCTATTATTCTTTCTGATGCATTCACCAAATACCTACGAACTATAAAAGCGATCATGACAAAATAACTACTCTTCAGATTTTCACACATGTAAAAGAACGTATAAAATAAAACATTAAAGAGATGTGTAATGGTAGAAAGCAATGAAGTATAGGATGCAAAAGCAAGGTCCTCACCTTCTCCAGGGTACCAAAAACCAAAGTGTCGTGACAAAGTGCTAAAATGTTAATGTATTTGTTAAAAAAAAGAAATTATGCTTCAAAAATGCACTGAATGTAGTTCAAAAACATGACAAGTACATAAGGGGAGAGCAGACAAAGATGCTCTTACTTTTCTATTTACTTTTAATATATTGAGATTCATGGCTATTTCTAATTTTAACTAAAAAAATCCTTGTACTATGGACAAGAGAAAAAATTTCAAAAATATTCTGGATCAAAGAGTTCTAGGTACATATGCACAAGTGAACAAACAGGAAAAAGCAGGACTGACATTTTTTATATGTGCTATATTAGCCTATCATCTGCTAATTCACAAAGTAAATCATAATCTGGTCAGTTCCAACAGGAAATATGACCCATAATTTTCAAGTTATTAAAAGTATCTTAGAAATATAGATTCACTTAAAATATTAAAATATAACTTGCTCTAAGTATATATTTTTTCCTAAAAATTCACTAATTTTAGAACGGAGTTCTTTAAAGTATTATTTTATCAATAGTTCAATTCTTTAAAAGTTCTGCTATGTATGTTTTGTAACATAGTTCATATATAAGGTAAACATTTTTACATAAATTAATATGTATTTTAAGCAAGGAAAATAGTATTATACTAATTTGGATATGTAATCTCATAATTTTGCCAGCTTCGGAGGACACTCCAAAGTGAGTGATGAGCTTGCGTAGACATCAGTGTCATGGAGAAGGATGGTTCACAAATTGGGAGTGAAGGATTGGGAGCAATGCACTGGTTCCAGGTGACCTACATAAGAACATGATGTACAGAGGCAAACAACCACATTTTGTAGACAGGGATACGAGAGGTTTCAGCTAGCACAGCATAATAGATTGCATGAGTATTTTTTTTAATTCCTAAAATAACATATAAATTAAGACAGAATAATTAAGATGGAATCACGGCCCAATGCTGTGGCTCATGCCTGTAATCCCAGCACTTTGGGAGGCCGAGGCAGGCAGATCACCTGATGTCAGGAGTTCGAGACCAGATTGGCCAACATGGCGAAACTCCATCTCTACTCAAAATACAAAAATTAGCTTGGTGTGGTGGCACGTGCCTGTAGTCTCAGCTACTCAGGAGGCTGAAACAGGAGAATTGCTTGAACCCGGGAGGTGAAGGCTGCAGTGAGCCGTGATTGTGCCATTGCTCTCCAGCCTGAGCAACAGAGCAAGATTCTGTCTCAAAAAAAAAGAAAGAAAGGAAAAAAGACAGAATCAAACATTTGAGAGGCAGAAGAGTCCAACATAGTCATTGAGGGGAATGGTTTTCAAACAATTGTTTTCAATAGAAGTATTTCTTTGGAAGAAGTGACGCCTAACATGGAAAGTGGGATAAGAGGTCGTATTTTAATCTGAGACACTGTAGAGGGGTGAAATGAGCTCAACCTCCTTCATTAACATTCCCTTCCAATGGTAGCTCCCACTGAGTTGTGAGAAATCTCTGAAGTAGCTCCAGAGCTCAGCCTAAACAGTAACACATATATTATCAATTCTTCCTTCTACAGTTGAGCAAACTGGAAACTATTTCTCTTAAATCATGTGCCTAAATTCTCCAAATTAAATGGAGAACTGGGACTAGACATATCAATCTTTCCTTAGATGAACTTACATCACTGTGTGAAGAAGATGCCATGTCTTCACTAATGATTAAATAGATTTGGTAATAGTAATATGATTATTACTATATCCATAATCTATAAATGACTAAATTATCTTTATTTACTTTATAATTTTTTTTTAGAAATTACCAATTTTAATTTGTGAAGTTAAATACTTATCATCATAAAATTTCATACAGAATAACACTCTGGTAAATTATTATAAAGAAAGGCCAATAATCAATCATTCATTCAAGTAAAAAGTTGGAAATAATGATATCTTAAAAATCAACTGGCCTGGTGCGGTGGCTCACACCGGTAATCTCAACACTTTGGGAGGCAGAGCAGGGTGGATCATCTGAGGTCAGGAGTTCAAGACCAGCCTGGCCAAGATGATGAAACCCCATTTCTTCAAAAATTTAAAAATTAGCCTGGCATGGTGGTATGTGCCTGTAATCCCAGCTCCTCTGGAGGCTAAGGCGGAAGAATCACTTGAAGCTGGGAGGCAGAGGTTGCAGTGAGCCGAGATCGTGCCATTGCACTCCAGTCTGGGTGACAGAGGAGACTCCCTCTCCAAAAAAAAAAAATCATATTTACTTTCATATTTTTAACACAATACTATATACATATACAGTATAAACATATTTAATATATAGTTAACATAATACTAGTTAAAATGATACCAACAAAAATAGTTAAGAAAATAAGCAGACATTCTATCTATATTACTGAATACATTGTACAAAAATAAAAGGTAATTAAATAAAAATAAAAATCTATTTTACATTTTTGGGCAAAACAAACACATTCGCTAATGGAAACAACTCACAACTGAAGACATAATCAGGTCAAATGAGATGATTTAACAGGAAGTGAAGGTTCTTGTCGCATTGTATAGTCAATAAGGAGAGTTTTCTGGTGTTGATGCCGTGAATAAACATTAATGCACAAAAATAAGAATGAATTCAGATAGTTCATATGATATGTACAACCCATTCATTGTCATATCTAATTCTAACTGCTTTAGATGAATATTAGTTGTTAAAAATAGCATTTGATTATTCTGAGGAGATTAACAAATGAACTTACAGCACACCTGAAACACATTTGCATCATAAATATAAATGTGCTGCCAAAAATAATCAGCTCTAAAATATTAATTCCATCCTTTATTTCCTTTTCTTAAGGAAATGAAAAGCCCAAACACTGTGAAACACATTAAAATATCTAATATTTCCAGAAATTCTATGATGTGCTTAACACCATTCTGTAGATTATGTATGTTCAATCTCATTTTAACTACCATTTTGTAGGTCAGGGATTGACAAAATGCTGCCCCAGTCTAAATTCAGCTTGCTATCTTCTTGTAAATACAGTTTTATTGGACTGCCATCTTGCCCATTACTTTGTATTGTCTATGACTGCTGTCATGCTATGATGGTGAAATTGAATACGTACAACTAAACATATGACCAGCAAACCTTAAAATATTTATTATCTGGCCCTTTACCAAAACAGTTTGACAGCCACTGGTGTAGATAATACGATTTCAATTTTCAAGTAAGCTTAATATCAGGATGGAAGATACAAACTGTAAATTCTGGAGTAAGAGTGGAAATCCAATTTTGACTGACGACAGGTGATTATGTTTCTTATATTACACAACATAGACATTCAGAAAATAAACTATACAAGGATATGATTTTTATGAGCTGTTCATGCATAAATATCTTGGAGTTTTACTTGACTGAAGGTTAAGGGAAAAGCTTATATAATCTTATGCAAAGTTTACAGTGTAATAGAATCTAGCCTGCAGGCTCTACAGTATATACTGTTCTGCTTTTCAGATGCTCCAGACCATTGTCTCTATTACTCTGTACTCGTGTGCTTTTATTCTCCTTTCCTATTAGAATAGAAAGAATGTTCCTTTTAAAATTCACTTTACTTTGGATCCCATTTCTTCTACCATTCCAAGGTTCTTCTTCTCTCAATTAGTCTCTTTCTTCACAGACAACTTTTTGAAAAAAATTGCCTATAATTACTGTGTCTATTTTTTTACCTCCAATATACTCCAGAACTTGTTGCAGGCTGGCATCTGTCTCATCCAATCCACTGAAAAGGTTGTGTTTAAGGTTATGGTCAAGAATATCATTGCTGCAGAGATCATTAAACACCTTTGCATCTTTATCTTATTTGACTCTATATTTTACACTATCAGATACTCCACTGACATTGAAATTGTCCATTCTCTTGGGTGTTGTGAAATCACACTTTCAGTGTCTCTGCCTATTTTTCAGGCCACTCCTGTTATTCGTCCTTGGTGGTATCTATTCCTCTATTCATATTATAAATATTACTGTTCCAAAACTTCAGTAACAGAATTTATCTTTTTATTCTATGTATTCTCTTGGGTAATTTTATTGATTACCATGTCTTTAACATGTGTGCAATTAACAACTATGTAGTTTAGTCCATATTTCTCATTAACTCTAGAATTATATAGCTAACTACATTTTCTATGTATTCACTAACTACCCAGCTGGCATCTCAAAATTAACATGTCCCAGGCTAATACCACCATGGCGTCTGTCAAATGTATCTTCTTCTCCCTCGTGTTTGTCCTCTATCACAGTAAATAAAATTTTCCTCTCCACCCAGGCCCAAGACAGACAGAAATCTGAATAATATACTCAAGGCTGCATGAAATTATAATGCCAAACTATTAATTAAAATGAGAAATATAGCCATCAACCAGATTGGCATGACCATGGTTGTTGATTGATGCTTTTGCCCTAAGTCAAATCAAAATGGAAAAAAAAATCAAAATTCAAAAGTTGTTTGGGAGCATAAATTTATAGCCAAGTTTATTTATTTCAGAACTTCATGTCACTGGGTGAAACAAAACCATAGATAAATATTTGTGGAAGACAAACAACTCAAATTTCAAAGAAAAAGGTCTATTAAATTACATTTCACAGAAGTGATTACTCTATAGTTGTTTTATTTTACATATTCACTAATAATGATACAGGAAATTCGGATAAGTAAAAAGAAGTTTCAAGAGAGTATCTATATGAAGACCTCATATATATTATATAATTGCTTATCTATATAGAGATTGATACCAATGTAGTAGAGATTTTAATATTTCTATATGATAAAGACATATAATAGAGATAGGTAGAGATAGGTGTCTAGCTATATATCTGAGTATATTTTTTAGAGGTATAAATAACGTTAACGGAGAAGACCACTACCTAACAGAACTAAGTAATAGCCTGCTTTTTACATGCTAGCCATTTTGCTTGGGAGCATTAACTTAAGCATTCATTTTCTTGATTGTGTCGAGTTATACAACCACAGATTGATAAAGGTGTGGTAAGAATTTGTTTAAAAAATAAGATACATCTCCTGCTCAATTGTGCAACACAAGATAGACACTCACATATTGAAGCTCACTATTCCATACATTACTATTTCTATGTGATGGGAATATTGATATGACTAAGATGGTAGAATCCATTTACACTAGAACTTAATTGTTTGAGTAGGAGAAAATAAACAAAATGCACAATAAAATTTCAGGTAGAGATAACATATAGTAGGGTTGGAAAGTGTGTCTCTGAGGAAGCTTTGCTGCATAGGGTGAGCAGTGATGATTTCTCTGTGGAGTTGCCTTTGAGCTGAGATCTGAATGAAATCAGGGAGAAAGCCACAAGATCTGAGGGAGACGACATTTCAGCAATGGGCAACAATGGCAAAGGCTCTCACATAGGAGGGACTGCACAGCAGTTGTTGCTGCAGCATAGTGAATGATGGGGAAATACAGGAAAGACAATTAAAGATTTGGGCAGGAAACAAACCTCAATGAATATTTTCACATTTCTGCATGGTTGGGGCTTTCTGAACAAAGAGTACTGATATCTGAGTTAAAGGACATTTGAACAGCAGTCCCAGAGGACTCCAAAGAGATATTATCTCTTGTCTCTCCTCTGTCACATACTTACCTTTCAGAGCGGTAAGGTGCAGACTTTCCCTGCTCTTCACAGATAAGTGCATTTACACTGCAAAGTATCCCTTCCTTTCTCTGGAGCTGAGGAGAAACAAATGTGTCAGCCATTCTATGTACAGGTTTCAGTATCACAATTTTGGGACTCCTCTCCTGTGGTGCAAACCCCATTTGCATGTACAAGTGACATTAGACCCTTGTATAATTGATGTAGAGGCAACCAGAGCTAAGGTGCTCTGTGAGTAGATATCAACCTGTTCTTTGATTCAGGAATCTCCTTGTTTCCTGTCAAATACACTAACAAATATAAAGACATAAGAGTTTTAACCAAGGAACCATATCCTTTTGTACCTCCCTAAGGTATTTGATTTTTATTTCAGGTGAGAGATTAATGGTGACTTTGACCAAAGTAGTAGCTGTGGAAATTCTGATAAAAAGTAAGAGTAAAAGATATACGTTGAGTGTAAAGCTGATGGAAAGCCACACAAATTATTAACACTGTTATGCCTAAACTGGACTCCCTATCTCTACACTTGCCCATCTAGAGTTAATTTGTCATACAGTAGCTGGAGAAGGTTCTTCAAAGCAATATTTTAAATCATATCACTTTTCTGCTGAAAAACATTCAACATCTTCTCTTTTTGCAATAAAATCCAAAGTCTTTATCTCTAATCATGCCCCACAAAATTTTACATGAATCTGCTTTTCCACTTCACTCATCAATGTTTTTCTGATTCCATTTCCCACCATGTTCACTTCCAGCCACAATGGCCTCCTCGCTGTTTTTCTGGCTGACAAGGTACATTCCTGCCTCAGTGCCTTTGTAGGTTTAACTTCTGTCTGGAAAGTTCTTAATTCAGATATCCATATAACTTACTCCCTCACTGCACACAGGTCCCTGCTCAAGTATAACTTCAGCAAGAGGCCTGTTCTTGCCACTATAAAATCTCATCCCAATCAAAAATATTTTTATATTAGTCTTTCAAATCTATTTATCATAGTGCTTATTAGCACCAGCCATATTTTATGTGTTTGTGTCTGTGTGTTTACTGTTTTCTTTTTAACTAGAATATAAACCCAGGACTTTAGACATTTATTTTTTGGTTGCTGAATTCCCAAGATCTTGAATAGTGCCTAGTGCAAACTAGACTTTCATTAAATAATGAATAAATAAATGTATGAGTGGAGTTACTGGATTTGAGCTTTGGAAAAAATAAAATGAAGACATTGAAAATATTTTAATCTATTGGGGGTATGTAATACTACTTACAGATTTGTGGAAGATGATGGCAGGAACAGGTTTGAGGGATACTTTACACAGTTTAATTCAGACAAGGACAAAAAAGTGTTATTTTAAAATGTTAAAATATAATAATACAAAATGTGTTAAGATGTAAATTTAGATAATAAATAAAAAGTATTGAAAAGGACACTGATCTTAGAACACAAATATTTGAGTTTAAAATTTCACTAATCCTCATGGAAATTCTCTAGCCTCTCTTATCTGGTTTTTCTGGTTTCCATCCTTCTGGCTTTTACACATATTTTTCTTACCAGCTTAAATTCATTAGATAATGATTACTTGAATTATTTCCCCAGCCTTTATCCTATTCACTTTTGAGAAATTGAGAAATAGTCTTTTAAGTTGATTCCTTTGCTTTCTCCAGAATCAAACTCCCAGGACATGACAACCATATTCAATACTTGCTTCTGTTATAATTTTTATAAGCATATCATTGTTCTCTAGTTGTTTATTAAATGAGAACAGTTATTGATTATGTTACATTATGGATCCATAATGCTATTTAAAATAAAAAGCACAATATTATAATTTAAGATGATCTGGTCTACAGAATCACAGTCTAATTGGAATTAATTTAGACAGTCAATCACAACTGTTGATGCTGCCAACAAGGGCTCAAATTAGTGCCAACATTGATTGTGGTTCTTTTCTCACAATTGTTTTATGGGCATTAAGTGGAATGCATAATAGCATTGAGCTCAAAGGAACCCTGCTGCTTCCTCTTTCAAACACAATTTACTAACATTTGCTGGAAATCTCCACATCCACTCATCTTTTTTCCTAGCTTGTTACAGCATTGATTCAAAATCCTTGTTTTTCTCTTTGTTGCATCTTATATAACAATTTATCAAATGTCTTGCTGAGATCTAGGTAAAAGACTCCCACTGCCTTTGCTTCATTAACTTCCTCATTCTCTGCAAACACTTGATCAGGTCTCCTGGGCCATATCCTTTTATTCTCATACAATGTTGGCAAATGGTACACTTGATGCTCTTCTGACAACTTAGATGCTTGTTTATTATAATTGGAACACTTACTAGTTAAAAAATAATGAGTTTCCCAAGAGTTTTTGTTGTTGTCATTGTTGTATTTTGATTGTGTTTTGTTTTACAGTCAAATTAAGCATTTAAATCATTTTTCTATTCAGGTCCTCATAGGGATGACAGAAGAAGTATGCTTTAGAATTGTGTACCTCTTTTGTCTCTCCTCCTCATATCTCTTCAAGGAGTGCTGATCACTTTCTCTCTCCTTCTGAAACTCTTTCCTACTTGGGCTGTTTAAAACACCGTTTCTTGCTGATCCTCTTCCAGTTTCTCTGACCATTTGCTGCTTGCCTTTTTCTACTTCTTCCTCCAACAGTTATTTGAACACTGGTGTTCATGAAAGTTTCCATACCCGGCCCATTATTCTTCTCCTGCCATATATATTCTGGCAGGGGGGATCTCTTTTATTCCTGTCACAAACCCTGTTGTCTCCCTTGAAACAGATGTCTACATGTTTGCAGGACATTGCTAACTTGTCTTTAACATTCCTGAATCCAAAGGAATGTTAAACTGAACATTTGTATAGTTGTCCTCATTTTTCACTCCATAATAACCTTGACTTCCTCCTTCATTTCCTCTCCATTTAATGTTAATATCTTCTACCTTGTTGCCCAAACCAGAAAATTCAGAGCCACATTAAATCTCTTTTCTCCTTCTCTCCAAATGCAATTAATCACATCCTGCTGGTTTTTATGTTGTGAAAATTTCTAGATTCTGTTTCTTTCTTTTAAAATCTCTCATATTATTGTGTTAGGATTATACCAAGAGCCTCCTACATCCACTTACTACAATGGACTTTCTCAAAGCCATCCACACTTTATACCTGCACTAATTCATTTCACAGCAACTTTTACAATCTGTCAGTTGTTCTCCATCATGTAAGATTAAGTTTTAAGCTCTGTGGCTTTCAGAATGAAGTCCTATATACTGTGACCTACCTCTGTCAATCTGAAAATGTAACTCCTGACAATTTAAATTCAGTCACAGTTTCTTCATATGTATTTACCTATGATGGTCCTTTGGTCTTGAAATAATTTTCTTCATCTGACCTAAATTGTATAATATTTCAAAAACCATGGTGGGTTTCCTCTTTAGCCTTTGCTACATGTCTTCTCTTTTGCACTCTCACAGCATCCTATGAGTACAACTTCATCTCAGTTGTCACCTTATGTTCAAAATAAACATTTAGGTGGATTTGCTTTCACTAGCATGTGAGTTTATTAAGTCAGGTTTTAATGCTCTTTTCATCTTTTTGTAACTAATATTTAGCATTGCATTTGGCTCACAGGAAGAGTAAGTAGAATTTACCCAAAAAAATCCTTTTCAGCAAATTTTTCTTTCTTCATCTACCTTGAGCTTTGAAACATTTTATACTCTTAGCAGTCTTCCCTCTTTTAAATATTCATTTTCTGGCTTTCTCCTATACATATGCAACTTATTACTGTCTTTTTTCAAAGTTCATACTCTTCTCCCCATGATTTAAGTGTTGTTAGATATTTAGAGCATCTACGTGTTCTCGGCTTTCAACTCTCTACCTTCTTTGCAGGTGAACAGATTTATTTTTGAGATTTAGTTTATTATCATTATGTTGACAACTTTCATATTAATATCCTTGGTTTCTGTGATGTTTAATACTGAGGTTTCAACTTGATTGGATTGAAGCGTGCAAAATAGTGTTCTGAGGTGTGTCTGTGAGGTTTTTGTCAAAAGAGATGAATATTTGAGTCAGTGGACTGGGAGAGGCAGACCCACCCTCAGTCTGGGTGGGCACCAGCTAATCAGCTGCCAGCATGGTCAGAATAAAAAGCAGACAGAAGAACGTGGAGAGATTAGACAGGCTTAGCCTCCCAGCCTACATCTTTCTCCTTTGCTGGATGCTTCTCCTTTGCTGGATGTCCTCAAACATCGGACTCCAAGTTCTCCAGCTTTGGGACTCGAACTGGCTTCCTTGCTCCTCAGCTTGCAGAGGGCCTATTGTGTGACCTTGTGATCGTGTGAGTTAATGCTCCTTAATAAACTCCCCTTTATCTATCCATCTGTCCTATTAGTTCTGTCCCTCTAGAGAAACCTGACTAATAAAGTTCCACATCTGCATATTTCATTGTCAAATAACATTTTTATTGTATCTATTTGGTTCATCCAATTTAACACATGCAAATTTGGATTTACTATATTCTCTCCAAAAAGAAGATGCATTTCAGTGGTCAGTATCTCAAAAATGAAAATTTCTCCCATCCAACTGCTAGTTTCAGAAACCTGGGATTCATACTTAACACTCTCTTTTCTGTCAGTAGCCACCACCTGTAACTCAATTATCAAAACTGACTCTTCCCAAACCTCTTATTGTATTTTTTTTACTTCACTTCCTCCCATAGAGCAAGCCACCATCACCTTTTTTGTACCACTGCAACAGCCTGATAATTAGTTACTCCATGTCCAGGGTGCTTTTCCTGCAATCTATTTAGACTACAGTTACAGGGATTTTTAAAATTTTAAGAATAGTTCCTCCTCCCCTCAACCCCTGCCAAAGATGTCTGCATCTAAATCAGTAGAACTCATGTTTATCGTGTTCATGTTACCTTTCATGGCAAAGAGAAATTAAGGTTGCAAATAAAATTAAAGTTGCTAATTAGTTGACCTTAAAATAAATGAGATTATTCTAGATTGCTCTGGTGGGCCCAATATAATCACAAGGCTTGTTAACAGTGGAAAAAGTAATCCGAAGGGAGAATCAAAGAAAGGGCAGAATCAGAAAGAGTAGACCTGACATTGCTGACTTTGCAGGTGAGAGGGAAATGAATGCTAAGAAAAGTCAAGGAAAGCCAAGGACAGCCTCCAGGAGCTAGAAAAACAAAAAATGAATTCTCTTTCTGAATGCCTCCAGAAAGG
The DNA here is from genome assembly GCF_000001405.40 of Homo sapiens. Lineage (NCBI taxonomy): Eukaryota > Metazoa > Chordata > Mammalia > Primates > Hominidae > Homo > Homo sapiens. Next base: position 61,818 of record NW_003315915.1, read on the forward strand.
AATGCACTCCTGCCAACACTTGACATTCGAACACAGCAAGAGATGCATCAGACTTCTGAACTACAAAATGGTAAGATAATAAATCTGTGTTGTTTTAAGCCACTAAATATGTGGTAATTTATCACAGCAGCAATAGAAAATTACTGTGCTACCTAAGAGACAAAAATGTTCTGCATCATTTCTTTTCATATATACATTTTATCTGCTATAACCCCACATTTCTTGTATTTTAGTCACAAATTACGTATCATTTCCTAAAAAACCTTCCTTAATCCATATTTCTCTCCTGTAGACTCCTTATCTCCTAATCTATCTAACATCTTAAATAATCACTAGCATAGAGGACGATCTGAATAACATGATTTATGAGGCAGTTATATGATGAGTCTCTGTTTCCTTAACTTGACTGTGAGTCTGAGAGAGCAGATGCCACATCTTTACACCCTACTTGCTTATGTTCAGAGCCAGCACAGTGCCTTGCACTTCGTAGGCACTTAGGAGATAGTTGTTAAATAGGTGAGTGAGGGATTGAGTGAAGGCATTTGTCCACTGCCTTCTGTGTAATATTAAAGTAAAAAGTTTGATATATATGATTTATCTGACTATTCACAAAATGGCATAATAATTATGTCTATTTCAGAGGCAAGAAAATTGGAGCCTGGCATAGCTAGAAATTTTTCTTAAGGCCATGTGGTAAGTTACCACATAGACACAAGAAAAAAAGAAAAAACAGATCTTTTTGAACTCACTAACTGTATTTTTTCACTGCGTACTATGTCTTTTGAGGGATGCTGTTATGGGCATCAGCAAATATCAAGCCAACCATCCTGCTTGAGTCCTACTGATAATTAAAGGCATCTAGAAATATGAAAAGAGCCTAAAGTGAATGTATTTTTGCCTATCATTTTTCTGCCTAGCACCTAGTATAGTGCAAAGCATATATCACCACTCAATAAATACATTTTGACTAAAATGAGTGAATGAATCAATGAATGAGCAAACAAATATTCTAGATGCCTACCTCTTTTTACTGGGGGTAGAAATAATGCCTGTGAGAGAGACCTGGAAATAAAAGAATATCTTTGCAGATAAACTTTACAGTTAAAGCTTTCTTTCCTTCTTTCTTTCTTTCTTTCTTTCTTTCTTTCTTTCTTTCTTTCTTTCTTTCTTTCTTTCCCTTTCCTTCCTTCCTTCCCTCCTTCCTTCCTTCCTTCTTTCCTTCCTTCCTTCCTTCCTTCCTTCCTTCCTTCCTTCCTTCCTTCTTTCTTTCTTTCTTTCTTTCTTTCTTTCTTTCTTTCTTTCTTTCTTTCCTTCTTTCTTTCTTTCTTAAGCTGGCTCTGATATCTTACCTCCTGTTTCCTAGTTCCTTTTAGTATTTGGGATGGGTAGAGGAAAGAACGCCCTTCTATGTGAGGATACTACAGTTCTATCATTGTACTGGACAATAAGAGAAAGGATCTTAAAGTAATACCATCCGTCTACATTAATGTGACTTTAATTGTATTTAACTTTGTGGAAAATAAAAAAAGACAAATAAATGGAAAATAGAGACAGCATATGTAATAATTAGTGTCAAAAATAATAGCAAATAAAAATAAAAAATTGAATGGAAAACAGAAGTTCATACTCTCAGTTCGAAACAAAGTTGACATTATATTTTGAGGTTTTTTTCCCCCTAAGACTCCCAGGAAATGTAATGTACCAGCTCATTATTATTGTTCTAGTAGTTTTACCTTTGTAGGAACACAAGTTTCATCATGATTTCTCCATTCATCTGAATCCCTCTGATGTGCATTATAGTTTGAAGTCGCTTAAAAGCTATAACTATTTGAAGGCAATATTATCCTTCATTAGAATCTTTTAAGAGTCCATCAAAATGTGTAGCTTACACCAGTCCACATATAGCTGGTATGATCTTTGTGCTAATTTCCTCTAACTTTTTAACAGGAAATGTCAATGTAGTATAGCATAGAGGGTAAAAACATAGGCTCATAGTTAGGAGTTGAAAATAAATCTCCTTTCCAAACCTTACTTGCTCAGTTTGTGTTTAGGTGTTGCATGTGAATAATAAAAGGAATAGTTGCACAGAGTTTTTTGAGGAGTAATGAGGGAAGGCACATGAAATACTCTGTAAAATACCTAGTATGCTAAGATACAAAAGCATTTAACATGAATTATCTTTATTACATCATAATTTCAATTGTAACACTCTCATTACAAAATATATAACATTCTAAAATCTCATCACAAAAAAGAGGAGTCTTTAATGATTTACTTACTGGTTAAATACTGAAACTCCTTTATAGAATTTCAATATTTACTATCCTGGACAAAGACTCAAATTTTTTTATATTTCCTCAGTGATATATAAAGTGGCGCATAGCTGTGACTTTTTTCAGACATATATTATTAGTAGTCCTCCAAATAACCATTTTTTTTGTACTTAAAATGTGAAGGTTTATTTTTCCATACCCTTCTGAGTGACACATGTCTCATAGTCTCTGTCTGAGAATTTGGAGGCCTTTACTCCACTGCTTATCCAAAAATAACTCTTGAAAGGTTTATTCATTTTTTAAAAAAAATGTGGTTATTTTGTTGTATAAGGAGCTGTTGTGAGTTGGTCCCTGGCCAGTGAGCACTCTCCTTCCTTCTTGTGAAGGGGTGCTTAAAAATAGAATAGTATTTTTTTTTTGTTTGTGCTTTTTTGTCTTCCACAACTGAATCATCCTAATATAAATGATTATGTAATATTAATATGAAATAGGTAGAGAGAGAGCAAATGGTAAAGCCAATTAATCTCTAATGCCAGGGATTGATATTTCAATGATTCATTCCAATTGTAGTGCTATTTCATCCTGTTTGTTTGATCACTTATTTATTTATTCAGAGATTTATTGAGGAATTACTTTCTGGTATGGTACTGTTATGTTTGTTGCAGTAAAACCATTAAACCAGACAGACAGAATCCCTGTGACTTGGCTCTCGATTTCTTATTATTGTTAAAATCAGATGACTTTCTTTTGTCTCAAACAACAAAGGGAATTGTATTCATGGTATTGAAATTATAGTAAAATAAGTAATGAAAGTTCTTGCGATGATGTTAAATATGAGGTTTTGAGTGACCAATTCTTAGTACTTGTTTAATATTTTCTGTGTATGTATCAATATATTCTTAAGATATTTTACCTAAAATCTGCTACCATTTTAAAAACCTAAATCCCAAATGTGATTACACACACTATTTGCCATCAGCTAAATGTTATATAAACTTTCACTTTATTTCATTTATTGTAAAATATATGCTTAAACACATATCAAACAAAAATCTACTTTACTTTTTTTAGAAAGTTGTACATTTTTTTCTGACCTATGAAGAGGCAGAATTTTAAAAATTGGTTTGGACACAAAAACCTATTTTTAGTATCATTGTTTCCTTTCCATAAATCATTGTTCGGAATAGTGAGCCAATTTACTATTAGTTTCATTGATCCTTTCCACTGATCTTACATGACTGTAAAGAATTTTGTCAAAGGCTTTCCAAACATCTAAGTTTAAAATCCTCTTTAACTCCTTTCCCACATTTGTCTACCTGGAGTGAAGTCCCTGAAGAATTTCACAAAAGTAGTGAGTGATTCCTTTTATTCTCTAAATGTGTGTTGTCTGTTCTTAATCAAGCTGAGCTTTTCAAAGTGGTCCTCATTTGATCTATAAAAATAGTTTCTAAAAGTTTTCAACATAACAGAAGTTAAAGGAAACTGTCTGAAATATCTAAGTGTGGGTCCAAGACTGCTCTTCAGTTAATGTTTTGTTTTGGTCACAAATCAAAAGGAATATTTTCTTCATAGAAAAAATATAAAATATTGTAATGCCAACAACAACATGCCTTTTTAACTAAAATCTTACATTTGTTCATAAGGATATTTTCAATTTCCTATTAAATTTTGTTATATTTCATTGCCATTAGGCAACATCCTTTTATTTTCTTCTGACACAATGATGAGTCTATTGGAGTAGTTCTGAATGGAGATAGCCATTACTGAGGGATGAGGGAAAGAGGGAAGATCAATGTTTGTCAAAGATATTTCTCAAATCTGTTAAAAAGCTACTATTGTTTTATAGCAATTTACTCTAAATCCATATTCAGTAATGGATATACATCCACAGAATTCCTGTATTTTTTTGAAATATCTGATAAAACTCTAAGGACCCCCTCTTTGCTCAGAATAAATGTGTGACTTTGGATGAATATCTCATATTTTCTAAGCCTCAATTTCCTCCCTGAAGGCAGGTAGACAATTTAAGAAATTTTAGAAAATAGTGCAGGATAGAGATGATGAGATCATAATGAATGTCTGCCTTGAAATTACTGTTTTTTTTTCCTGTCCTATGTGTTACAATGGACTTAGAAGTTTTATACAGATTTTCAGTCACACGCGTTTCTCAGTTTTTATCTATACAGGGATTAACCTGATCCTATAGACATGTTCCCCCTTCTCACTACTACCCCAACTGCCCAAAAATATTCTTCATTTTTTGGTAAAATTATTATTCATTTTTTGTTAAAAATAACTGCATTGGTGGATGACTTTGCATGTATATGGTGACCCTCCATTTATCCTCCATTTGAAGGTGACTTTTTGTATACCATACTCTGTATGTTGAGAATGAGAGAGAGTCTTTTGCCCTTGAATAGCTTGTGACTCATTCAGTTATTATTTTAGTGAAAAGTTAGGGCATTGAATCATAGGTACATACCTTGAAAGAAAAGCCAGTGCTTAAACAGCCCTACTTGACATGATAATGTTGGGTATTTTCAGCCAGCAAAATGCTAAAATATACTTACTAACCAAAAAAAAAAAAAAAAAAAAAAAAAAAAGTTCTACTCTGCCTACACAGCACAGTTGTTCAAAGAGCGGATAATAGATAAGGAGGTGAGGTTCTTAGCCACACGCTACAGTTTTTGTGAGATTTCTTAACTTAGGCTTTTTGGGACCAATGAGGCTTCAGAAATAGGCTTCAAATGATCCACAGTCTTGCTAAAATTGTACATAAAATCATGTGTACATGGAATTCTGTCCCATGAAAATAGTTCATAGCTCACATGACATTTACCGTTTATTACATCTCACACACATACATAATAATATACTAATAACCAAATTCTTTTACTTATTATCGAAATTCTTAATTGTCTTTAATAACCTGAGAGAGAAGTAAAATAAATATAATTCTACATGTTTCATAGATTAAAAAAGTAATATATATAATATATAAATTTTATATGTTATACATATTACTTATATGCTGTTCCCTAATGCATTACCTCAAATTTCGTTTTTTTCTAGTATTGACCTGCCAATTTTAAGCCAGTGCTTATCCATTGAGATTTTCCATTTTCAACTTTAAATTGTCTCCACATATTCATTTAATTGTGTCCTAATTTCCTGTCTATTGCCTGAGAAGCCTAGGTAGCCCACAAATGGAAGAACTATGCTAGCTATCAAATTTTTCTAGCACATCAGCTTGGGAGGCTGTCTACTGAGCTGGAAGGTCATTTAAATTTTTTCTCATTTTCAAATACCAACATTTCACTAAAGAGAGTTACAGGCAGAACACATTTGCCATATTAATGAATTGAAAAAAAATGAACTCTTCACTGATTAGAATGCTACCTATTATATACAGAATAAGAAAGTCTGTTGGGAATGATATGGGTGTAGTAGACTAAAAGTTGCAAAAATATCCCACACTATTAAAACTAGAAAGGAGAAATTCATATGCACGAGAGTGAAAACAGGAAATATAATTCTAACACTGAGGGCAGAAAGTCATTTGCCTATTAACTACCTGTTCCGTTTAGTACAGGAGCAACAAGAAACTATTGCTCCACATTTGAGGAAATTTAGCTTTACTTTTTATTATCAATTTTTTAAATAAACAAATGGAATCAGATAACCAACAGTCTTCTCTCCTTTGACTGAAAACTGAGTAGCTGCTCACTGTAGGCCAGCATAATCAACACTGGTATCTCAAATTGTGAAAGTTTTGCTTCACTTTGAGTCTAAATTTAATTATTGTATTTTTTCTTTATTAGTTCCAGAATGTACGCCATTTATGAAAATATGTATGAGTCTAAATAAGCTTAATTCTTTCAGACAATAAATGGTTGACATGATTTTTCTGACAGTTGTGATCATAGATTGCGGTAGGCATTCTACTTTTCATATTGATTTAAAATATATTATGATACTCACAGATGAATATATACATGGTATATACCATATGTATCTATATAGACAAATACATAATTGTAATCTCAAAGTCAGTATTATTTTAAAACATTTTAATGTTCTTTACCTATGTAAAAACCATGGGTACACTTGATTTATTTTTAGCAATCAAGTAGAACATTAGATTTTTCCACATATCTAAGCCAAAAACAATCATTTTATTACTTTTAATTATTATCTTGCTCATTTCTATCTACAGTCTGTCTGTCTCTTTTAATCATTTTGATTATTACAGTTTAATCTATGGCATCAGCTAATTAACTAACATGTAGCAAATGAGCACCTATTATGAAAGAAGCACTTTAATAAGCCATAAAAGTAACAGGTAATATTTGCTATGGTTCAAGCTTTTTTATAGAAATTTTTAAATTTTTAAAACAACCTTATAAAATATATATTGCCATTATTCCTATTTAAAAGATGGAAAAACATAAAAAGTCACAAAGGACTATTATGAACAATTATATGACAATAAATTGGATAACCTAGGGGAAATGGATGAATTACTGGAAATATACAATCTACAAAGAATAAATCAAGAAGAAATAGAAAGCTTAAACAAACCAATAGCAAATAGAGATTGAAGTAGTAATCAAAAACCTTCCATCAAAGAAAATTCCAGTACCAGATGGCTTCATAGCTGAAGTCTATCAAACATTAATAGAAAAATTAATATCAAACCGTCTTAAACACTTCCAAAAAGTAGAAATAGACTGAATGCTTCCAAACTCAGCCAGCACTATTTGGATAACAAAGCCTGACAAAGGTATCGCAAGTAAAGAAAACTATGGGTCAGTATCTCTGATTAACGTATATGCAAAAATTCTCAATAAAATACTAGCAAATAAAGTTCAACAACATATCAAAAAAGTATACACTAAAACCAAATAGGATTTATTCCTGAGATACAAGGGTGGTTTAAAATACACAATCAATGTGATGTGCCATTTTAACAGAATGAAAGATTTTTTTAAGCCACATGATGATCATAACTGATGCAGAGAAAGCATTTGACAAAGTTTAGCATCCTTTAATGATAAACATTCTCAAAAAAACAAGTATAGGAGGAATTTGTCTTCAACCTAATAAAGATTGTTTATGAAAAACCCACAGCTATCATAGTAATCAATAGAAAAAAACTGAAAGCTTTTTCTCTAAAGTCTGGGCCGTGGCAAAGATGCCCATGCTATTCTATTTAACATAGTTAGGGAAGTAACAGCAAGAGCAATCAGACAAGAAGAAGAAATAAAGGGGATACAAATCAGAAAGGAAAAAGTAAAATTAACCCTGTTTACAAATGTGTAGAAAACCCTAAAGACTCCACACAAAAAAGTTGTTACACAAATAAATGAATTCATCAGAATAGCAGGATACCAAACCAACATACAAAATTAGTTGCTTTTATTTACACCTACAAAAATCTATTTGAAAAATAAATCAAGAAAACAATCCCATTTAAAATAGCATTAGAAAGAATAAAACACTAAGAGATAAATTAAAACAAAGAAGTGAAGTGAAAGCTATGTACAATACAAAGCATGGAAACTATAAGCATTGATAAAAGAAATTTAAAGACACAAATTAATAAAAAGATATCTCATATTTGTGAATTAAAATAATTAATATTGTTAAAATGTTCCTATTGCTCAAAACAACATACAGATTTAATGCAATCCCTATCAACAGTTTAATTTTTCAAATAAATTGAAAAAAAATTAAATGGAACCACAGAAGATACTGACTAGCCCAAACAATCTTGGGAATGAAAAACAAAGTTGGAGGCATGACACTTCCTGATTCCAAATTATATTACACAGCTATAGTAATCAAAACAACACATTATTGGCTTAAAAATAGATATATAGGACAGTGGGACAGAATAGAGGAACCAGAAGTAAACCCAGTAATATAAGGTCATCTAATTTTTGACAAGCTGCTAAGAAGACACAATGTACAAAAGATACTGTCTTCAATAAATGGTTGATTTTATTTTTCAAGCCAGATATAATAATATCTTCCTCATATATAGGAAATTTCTTGAACGTAACTAGCATGTAGTTAACATGACTTTACTACCCCAGCAACAATTCATGAAACTACAGGTACCCTACGTGCAGTCAATCTATAAGCTGAGTAATCAATAGCATGTGAGTTCTCTGACATGAATGTTCTTCCTGTGAGTATCATGAAGACTAATTAATGTGCGTAGATATTTTTAATTTAAAATTAAGATACAGAGTCAGGAAAGTATAACAAGGCTAAAATTGAAATACAAACAGAGTTATATAAAATTCAATCAAAATTGGAGACGACAAATTCAAGGAGTAAAAACAGGCATACAAATGTGGGTACACAAGTTTTATCTCTCTCCAATAGATCATTCAATCAAAAAATTATAAGCATTCTATATTTAAAGTACTTGAGTGTCATGAGCTTCAGAAGAAACTTTCCAAATGTTTTAAAACTGGTAGTGATGAAGATTTCCAAGTTTATCCCTGACATGTAAAGAACCTGGAAGTTATTACTCCTGTCCTTACAATAAGGAAATGCTAGACAAACACAATAATTTTATTAGTTTTATTAGAGAACTGAGGGAAAAGGAAAAAACCACTACCACAAAATATTGAGTGTCAAATGCATCTAGAGAGAGATAGTGTACTCAAGATTTGATTACCTAGGACAGAAGCCACTAGACGCTTAAAGCTGGTAGAATATCATATATGATAATCTTGATGAATTGCTGGAGGATGAGTGTATGGAAGTGAACATGAGAATACCCTAGCGCTGAAGTATTGGTGGTTGGACACCCTGCAGACTTTCCCTCTAGGAGCTCCACCAGGTTATGGCAGAGAGAATTCTAGAAACCCTAGAAATCTCAATACATCACCCTCATGGGGGGAGGAAAAGCATTCCTATCATGACTCTTCTCCCTAAAGAAGGCCTTGTTTCCATAGGTAATGACATTAGCAGTTAGGCAATTTTTACACCTGAGAAAAGAGAACTGCATTCCAATCCAGATTTTCTGCATCAGCTAATGAGAAATAAATGAATAAAAGCATTGTTAGCGGAGGAGAGAGCTTCAAATAAATAGACTGCAGTGGTTAAGAGACTAGAGAACAGAAGGTGAGAAGGTTCTCTTGGGGACAAGAAACAGAAACACTTCTGAAGACCAAACCTCTAAGACACAGTTCCAATAAAACACCAAGAACCAATCAGAATATTAGGTGACCCTCTCCTCTGTGACACTGCCACTGCTGTGTCTGCTGAAAATAAAGGAGAAAGAGAGAGTCTCAAAGGTTTTGGGAGGTTGGGGTAGATTGAGGGAGCAGAGGACACCTTACCTATAGAGAAATAAAAATAAGGATTACAGGAAACTTCTCAGTAGAAAGCATGCAAACAAGAAGAGAACAGAGTGATATATTTACAATATTGAAAGAAAAGGAAAAATCTGTGAACCAAAATTCTATATTCAGTAGAAATTTCACTGAAGAGTGAAGGAGAAGTTAATGGGTATGGGTTTCTAATCAAGGTGATAATTTTTTTCTAGAATTAGATACTGGTGACGGTTGCAGATACTGGGGATAGTTGCACAATTCTGTTTAAAAAACACTAGTAAATTGGACAGTTTAAAAGGCTGAAATGCATGTAGATTATATCTTAATAAGGCTGTTACAAAAGTGAAAGAGAAATTTAAAAACTCCCTTTTCTGATAACAAAGTTGTGAAAGATAAATTTAGAAGTTCTCTTTTCTGAAAACTTAGAAAAATCAATTTCTTGTTGATCTTCCTTGAAAGACCTTTTAAAAGAAGATCTTCAGGCAGAAATAAAATGGTTTAGGTCCAAAATTTGGATCTACACAAAGAAAACAAGAGTGTCAGAACATGAACAAATACAAATATTATTATTTTATTTTTTCATAATTTATCTAAAAAACTGAGCAAAGGAATGATAACAATGCAATGGATGCTTATAGCATAAACATACACAAAATGAATGACCATAGTATCAACTGGAATGAGAGAAAGTAATTGAGAGTGCTGTATTATTAGGCAACTGCATTACATGTGAAACAGGATAGTGCCTCTTGATGGTGGATTTAGATTCTTTTAAAATGTATGTGGCATGCCATAAAAACAATAAAATACTTAGGAATGCAGTTCACCAGGGAAAGATCTCTGCAAGGAGAACTACAAAATACTCCTCAAAGAAATCAGAGATTACACAATCAAATGGAAAAATATTTCATGCTCATAAATAGGAATAACTAATATCATTAAAATGGCCATACTGTTCAAAGCAATTTATAGATTTAATGCTATTCCTATTAAAGTATTATCAACATTCATCAAAGAACTACAGAAAACTATTTTAAAATTTGTATGGAATCAAAAAAGAGCCCAATTAGCCAAGGCTATCCTAGGCAAAAAAACAAAGCTGGAAGCATCACACTACTGGACTTCAAATTATACTGAAGGGTTAACAGTAACCAAAACAGCATGGTGCTGGTAGAAAAACAGACACATAAACCAATGGAACAGAATAGAGAGCCCAGAAATAAGACTACACACCTACAACTATCTGGATTTTGAAAAACCTGACAAAAGCAATGGGGAAAGGATTCCCTATTCAATAAATGGTGCTGGGATAACTGGCTACCATATGCAGATGATTGAAATGCCATCCTTACACCATATAAAATATTAAATCAAGATGGATTAAAGACTTAAATGTAAAACCCAAAAGTAAAACAACTCTGGAAGACAACCTGGGAAATACCATCAAGATATAGTCACGGGCACAGATTTCATGACAAATATGCCAAAAGAAATCGCAACAAAAGAAAAAATTGACAAACAGGATCTAATTAAACTAAAGAGCTTCTGCACATCAAAAGAAACTGTCAACAGAGTAAACAGACAACCTATAGAATGGTCAAAACATTTTCCAAATTATGCAGCCAACACAGGTCTAATATCAAGTTTCTATTAGTATATTGAGCAAATTTACAATAAAAAACCAAAAGACCCCATTAAAAAGTGGGCAAAGGACATGAACAGACACTTTCCAAAAGAAGAGCATGTGGCAAAAAAATGTACGAAAAGAAGCTCAACATCACTGATCATTAGAGAAATGAAAATCAAAACCACAATGAGATACCATCTTACACTAGTCAGAATGGCTATTTTTAAAAAGTCAAAAAATAACAGATCCTGGCAAGGTTGTGAAGAAAAAGGAATGCTTATACACTGTTGGTAGGAGTGTAAATTAGTTCAACCATTGTGGAAGACAGTATGGTGAATATTCGAAGACCTAAAAGCAGAAATACCATTTGACCCAAAGGGATACAAATTGTTATATTATGAAGATACATGCACATGTATGTTCATTGCAGTACTATTCACAACAGCAGAGACAAGAAATAAACCTAAAAGTCCATCAATGATAGACTAGATGAAGAAAATTTGGCACATATGCATCATGGAATACTATGCAGCCATGGAAAATAATGAGATCATGTCCTTTGCAGGGATATGGATGGAGCTTGAGGCCATTTATCCTTAGCAAACTAACACAGGAACAGAAAACCAAATACCGTATGTTTCACTTGTAAGTGGAAGCTAAATTATGAGAACAAATAAACACATAGAGGGGAACAACACACAATAGGGACTTTTGGAGGGTGGAGGGTGGCAGGAAAAATAACTAATGGGGACTAGGCTTAATACCTAGGTTATAAAATAATCTGTACAACGAACTCCATGACACAAGTTTACCTGTGTAAGAAACCTGCACTTGTACCCCTGAATTTTAAGTATAAAATAAAATAAAATAAAATGTATATTGCAAATCTCAGGGAAACCAAATTTCAAAGGAATAATAATAATATATCAAGAGATGATAATATTGAATTATATAAAATGCTCAATTAAAACCAGAGAAAGCAGAAAAATATAAAACAAGCAAAAGAACATGCACAACAAATAGAAACATTACAAAGATAGTACATTTTATCCAAACAATATCAGTAATTGCTTTAAATATAAGTGATCTAAATAGTGGTTAAAAGGCAGAGATTGTCAAAAAAGATAAATATTAGTACATATCTCAAATTATATATAAGAATTTTATAAAATTATCTTTAATACTCTAAATAAGTTACAGTATTCTTAATACTGAATTGCAGAGAATGTAATATTAATAGTAGCAACAACTTTTAAGTAAATGTCTAATAATATTCCAAATAGTTTGAAAATTTTTAGAAATATTAACATTATCTTTTCTTTTTTTTGCCTTTTTTGGGTTTTGTTTGTACTGTTTCTCTCTTACAATCCCTAGCTAAACTATACTCTTGTCTCAGTCATGATTGAATACAGACAACTACAGCAAATTCTTCTAACGACTTCATTGATCAGCCACTATGTGACTTCCAAACCTAACAGGTACTTTTAGTTATGCATAATATTCTCCATGATTTCACTCTCCCTTCTTGCTGAATTAGCATTACTGACATTAAAATTTTTCTGAATTAGATATAATATTGAGATTTTTCAATAGAGTATTCAGTTAATCTATAACAGTCAAAAAATTTATTTCAGAAGATCATCTTTAGATAATTTTATTGTTGCTTACTGCTAATACACAGAGATTTCTAAACACTGTCTAGAAAACTATCAAGGTTTCATAAATTTAGTAAATTAAAATTATATTGTATTATTTTGTCATCAAACAATAAATAATTCATGTAATTTATCAGATTTATAAGAAAATTCAATAGCTTTCCATTTGAAATAGGCATTAGTTTTGTTTCAAAGACTATACTATACAACTCTGTTTTGTTTTACCAATCATATGTATGTTTCTTTTCAATTATTCCTTTTTGTTAGTTTTTAATATGTGCAACCATTTTTGTTATAATCAATCTATTTTCATCACAAAATACATTTCTTTGAAGGAAAATGTTCATATCTCTGCTATATATTATTACATAATTTTAATTATCTTCAGTTCCAGAATTTCCAAATTTTATTTTTAGCTCTAGCAAAAAAAGTTGCCTATCAATATCCAAATAATCTACCAAGTTTCATTTCAATTCTCACCTACACAAATTCTTAATTATCTGTAATGATTGTGATTTATCTAAATACATTAAAATTTTTATTGACAAATAATTTAAATCTATTTATTTAATTGATTTAATTGATTATGTTATTCAGAAATAATTGGATTTCTTGCCATAGAATAGATAAGAGGAAATTACCTAGAAATTTGTGTTTATTTTTTCCTGATACTTCAGACCATTTTCCCAGCAAGTCACTGGCACCATATGTACACAGTTCAATAAGGTTTTCATATAAATACGTCTTGAAGAAAACTTTCCAAAATGAAAAAGTATATAATTTTAGATGCTAATCTGCTCAGTTCCAGAAAATCAAGAAAAAATACACTATTTTTAAAGTCTTGAAATTACCATTGTTGTCATTATCAATGATTCATAAGGAAGAGCAGAGTGTTGTCAATGTATGGAATTTTATGTCTTGATTTAGAAGTTTTCGGAAAATATTTTTTAATTTCAATTGACCAAAGTTTTGCAACAAGTAGAGGCATAAAAGTAGAGTACAATGGTGTGGCTATATCAATATTATTATTTTATTACAATTATTTAAAAATTTCAAATTTGAAAATGCTCAATTATTTCTAACTACAGAGCAGATTTTTTTAAAGTTCTGAATTTTTTTGCTGTTTTATTAAATTTAATTAATAAAATATTTTCTAACTTTATTTCCGAATTTCATTGCTTCATTGTATGAAACTTATTTATATATTTTCCCTAATTTATGATTCTAATTATTATTAGTTTTTAATTCAAACACGGGCTTTAACAGAATATAAAATGTATTTTGGTAAGAAATGTAAAAGTTTAACACTTTCAACTTTTAACAGTACAGGTTTTGAGCATAATTATCAGACATTTACATGATATAGATAAGCAACTGTTTTTGGTTGCAGTAAGTAAACTGTTTTTCAATCCGGAAATATAAATTGTTATATTCTGTAGTAACCTTTTTCACAGTATTTCACAGGCTTTTTAGGTTCCTCTGATTTGTGCAAAATGTCAGTAGGTGCTCCAGGCTCTTCATTATTTAAACCATTAAAACCCTCTACTCTGTTTTAACACAGACTCAAAAGACTTATATTTAAATGGAACTTTAAAAATGTATCCAAATTTCATTGTCTTTTTATTCTAGACATTTGTGAAAGCTAAAGTATTTAGTTGAAGTAATAGTTGCATAGTTTGGGATTAATGATATACTGGCAAGTTTTGTAATTTAGAGAATTATTTTACTTTATTTTATTTTTACTATTTATTATTTTTTATTTATTTTTTCAATTTCAATAGCTTTTGGGGCATAAGTGGTTTTTGGTTATGTAGATGAATTGCACAGTGGTGAAGTATGAAATTTTAGTGCATCTGTCACCTTAGTAGTATGCATTCCATTCAACATGCGGCTTTTTTCCCTAGCCCCCTTTTACTCTCCCCTTTCTGAATCTCCAGATTCCATTATATCACTGCGTATGCCTTTGGATACTTATAGCTTAGTTCCCACTTGTAAGTGAATACATGCAGTAATTTTTTTTTTTTATTTCTGAGTTGCTTCACTTACAATAATGGCCTCCGCCTCCATCCAAGTTGCTCTAAGAGACATTATTTCGTTCTATTTTATGGCTGAATAGTGTTGCATAGTGTATATATACCACATTTTTTTATACACTCATTGGTCAACAGGCACTTAGTTTGGTTCCACATCTTTGCAATTGTGAATTGTGCTGCAATAATCATACACATGCTGGTGTGTTTTTGATATATTTAACAGTGATACCCAGCAGTAAGATTGCTGGATTGAAAGGTAAATCTACTTTTAGTTCTTTAAGAAATCTCTGTACTGTTTTTCATAGAGGTTGTACTAATTTACATTCCGACCTCTTGTGTGTAAGTGTAGCATTTTCAGCACATCCATGCCAACATCTACTGTTTTCTGACTTTTTAATAACGGCCACTCTTGCAGGAGTAGGTGGATCTCACTGTAGTTTTAATTTGCATTTCCCTGATGATTAGTGATGTTAAGCATTTTTTTATATGTTTGTTGGCCATTTGTATATCTTCTTTTGAAAATTGTCTATTTATGTCATTTGTCCACTATTTTGTGGAATTATTTGTTTTTTCCTTTCTGATTTGTTGGAGTTCCCTGTAGATTCTGGATATTAATCCTTTGCCAGTTGCATAGTTTGCAATTTTTTTTTCCTATTCTGTGGGTTTTCTGTTTAGTCTGATGATTATTTCTTTTGCTATGCCAAAGCTTTTTAATTTAATGAAGTCTCATACATTTATTTTTGTTTTAGTTGGATTTGCTTTTGGGGTCTTACAAACTCTTTCCCTATGCCAATGTCCAGAAGAGGTTTTCCTAGGTTATCTTCTAGAATTTTTGTGGTTTCAGGTAATACATTTAAGTCTTTGATGCATCTTGAGTTGATTTTTGTATAAGGTGAGATATTGGAATCTAGCTTCATTCCTCTATATGTGGCTTGCCAGTTTTCCCAGCATCATTTGTTAAATACGATGTCCTTTCCCTAATTTATGTTTTGGATGCTTTGTCAAAGATCAGTTGTCTCTAAGTATTTGATTTTATTTCTGAGTTCTTTATTCTGTTCCATTGGTCTATGTGTCTTCTTTTATAATAGTACCATGCTGTTTGGGTAACTATAGCCTTGTAGTATAATTTGAAGTTCAGTAATATGAAACCTCCACATTATTGTGGAGGTCTTTTTGCTTAGGATTCTTCTTTTTGCTTAGGATTGCTTTGGCTATTTGGGCCCTGTTTGGTTCTAAATAAATTTTAGCTTTTTTTTTTTTTTCAAATTATGTGAAAAATCATGTGGTATTTTGATAGGAATTGCATTGAATCTATAGATTGCTTTGGGCAGTATGGTCATTGATTCTTCCAATCCATGAGTATGGGAAGTATTTCCATTTGTTTGTGTCATCTATGACTTTTTTTCAGCAGTGCTTTGTAGTTTTCCTTGAAGAAATTTTTCACCTCCTTGGTAAAGTATATTCCTAGGATTTTGTTTGTTTGTTTGAGTTTGCTTTATTTTTAGCTGTTATAAAAGGTTGTAAATGTACAAGAGATTGAGTTGTTTTTTTGCGGGGAGTGGGGCGGGGGACAGGGTCTTACTTTGTCACCCAGCCTGGAGTGCAGTAGTGCAATCTTGTGAACTTGACTCACTGCAACCTCCGCTTTCCGGGTTCAAGGCATTTTCATTTCTCAACGTCCTGAGTAGCTGGGACTACAGGCACACATCACCACACCTGGCTAATTTTTGTATTTTTTGATAGAGAGGGAGTTTCACCTTGTTGGCCAGGCTGGTCTCAAACCGCTGACCTCAAGTGATCTACCTGTCTCAGCCTGCAAAAGTGCTGAGATTACAGGCTTGAGCCATGGTGCCTGGCCCTAGGGATTGAGTTCTTGATTTGATTCTCATTGATCATTGTTGATGCAGAGCAATGCTATAGATTTGGGTACATTAATTTTGTAACCTGAAACTGAAACTTTACTGAATTTATTTATCAAATCTAGAAGTCTTTTAGAGGAGTCTTTAAAATTTTCTAGGTATATGATTGTATCATTGGCGAACAGCGATAGTTTGACTTGCTCTTTTCTAATTTGGATGCTCTTTGTTTTATTCTCTTACCTGATTGCTCTGGCTTGGACTTCCTGTAGAATTATTTTAAATAATAAAATAATAAATAAATAATATATAAACATTCTACAGCCTAATATTGAATGTGCTGATGTAGCAGAAGGGATTGCAACCCTTACCAATAATAGAAGTCCAATTGTTACTATCCTTCAATACCTTCTAGAATATTTTATTATAGTAATTATTTAATATTTTTATTTAACGATCAATAATGAACCTTTTTATTCTTCTCTACTTACCTAATATCAGGAAACTTATATTTAAATAAATGATCTACAGTTGTGGAATGATTGCATATCATTTATCTTAGATACAGCAGTTAAGTACAATTTGCTTTGGAAATTTCATCAACTCTAAGAATTAGTATGGGTTTCATAAGACTTTTGTGAATATTTTTCTAATCCTGAGGTAGAAAAAACATGTAATCCATAGTCTTCATTATTTCTGACATAATGTGACTACTGGCCTATTTACTTGTGCAATAAATTTTATTTGTGTCTCAAAATAAAATTTTCTTTTGAATATAAATGCCTCTGAATCTGATTTATGGCATCTGCACATAGAGTCAGCAAAATTAAAATTATTAATATTATATGAATATTAAAATTAAAAAGAACCATTTTATTTGAGAGAAAATAGAAAATTATTATATACGGTAAAATATTTATATTCAAGGCATTTGAATAAATACATTTAATTCTTAGACTCACAGTTTTCCTCAATGGGATATCTTTTTATCTACAGAGAAAAATATTCTACAATTTGACATGTATTTTACCTCTGTTATTTTATGATTTCAATTTTTTAAAAAAAAAATTGTGCCTCTGAGTCTATCTGTGCAAAGGATAATTGACATTAGTAAAAATATTTTAAATTTTTGATATATGACCAATATGACTACTTTGTAATTATTTGAATTTGAAGGGTTTCTAAAAGAAAATGATACATTAAAATATATTGCCTCAACTGTGTTCAAAGAAAACTTCTCATTAATGAAATTTCAGAATAAAACTAATCAATATAATATGGACTTATATAGTATATATTATTTTATCAGATAATTGAAAGAAATCAAGGAGAGATTAAAAAAAAACACAGGTCAAGATAACCTGTTCTATAAATACTTATGCTTCACAGGCTGTTGTGAGATTTTGCATAATTTTATTATCTTGAAGTTTACCTTTCTACTTTGTAAATTTTACTTTCCACTTAAAGTTTGTAGCAACTGAAGAAGCATTACAATCTAAATTATAGATTAGACATTACTGACACCATTCTTTGAAGAAACTATACAGAAAAGAAACAAAGTTAAAGTAGACTAATTGTAAACTCATTAATACAAAAGTGATTCAATGGCAATTTACATTTTGGAAAATCCTTGTTTTTTTTGCTGTTTTTTTTTTTTTTAAATCCAGGGACATTATCATAGATCCATGTCAATTAACACGGGTGCACACCAAGGAGGACATACATCATTTATGCATATAAGCAAGATGAATCAATTTCACAATTTTACAAGTAACTGGTGGATAGAGGCCCATTTTTAGGCATTTTCATATGATCTCTAGGTCTTTTTTTAGTTCTCAATTCTCAAAGGAAAATTAATTATTACCTGATTATTTAAGAAATGAGTTCCTTTTAGGATGTAGCATAAGTAATTTGTATATATCAAAAATCAGTTCTGTCACATTAAATCACCTTTTAAAAATGATTGTCACTGGAAAATCACCAGAAATATTCTTCCCCTTCAAAATCACTTGATATAACAAAGCCATACATACAGACTTCTGCTGATAAAGTTTACAAAGAACTCAGCGTGAAGCAAAAGATACCAATAAACCAAAAATTTAGTCATTCTAAATGCTTTTATCTTCTCTAGGTGTGAATTTTCATGTGTTTGTGGCTCATTTTTTGTAAGCGTCAACATTATTTCAAATTAGCTAACAACTCATGTAAATTTTTGTCACATGACAAGTCTAATATTTGCTTTAGGAATTTCCATTTTTATGCATACAAACTTAAATTTTATATATAATTTTTATATAATAAATTCATGTATAATGAATTATACATGTATTACTAACATGTCCTTATTCTGCCTCCTTACAATTATATCTGTTCTTCACATTTACAACTTGAGTTTTCCCACACAAAAGAAAGGTATAATGTTTCTATATTTTGTTGCACGCTTGTAAGCCTAATCAGATTTTTTGAACTTATGGAATTAATCTATTCCTTGTGGAAGAATATTTGCCCAGCTAAAATCTAGTTGAACACTATCTTAGTTTAACTTAGAAGAAGAGAAATTGAATTGAAATGCTTAATTGCTTATTTCATCCTTTAAAAATGAAGAAACACATAGATGATCTAAAGTAGATGTTAAATTATATTTAATTTAGTAAGATTTCAAAAGAAAAGGTTTTAGTGGTTGTTTCAAGGATTTTTTTTAAAAAATGGCTGAAGATCAAATTTTAAATTTGTGAATGTCACCTGAGAAAGGTTTGCTGACTTAACAAGATTTATTCTCACTGAGTACTTGTGAGACATATGGTTGGCATCTATTATGTCATGCTTTTTCTTTCACTCATACATGTCTGTTGCACTGCAACAGGAGAAAAGGTGAAATAGTAAAATTTTTAGAAAGACAGTCATCTTATTGTTTACAACTAAAGAAAAATATGTGTATATGCTATAGTGACACATATATATTAATGTCTTCAAGAACACTCTTCACATTATCATATGCAAATTAGTGAAGGGCACTTTTGTTAGATGTATTTATGTTGGTTCTAGTTTTCTTCTAGTAATTAGCATAGAATCACCAAATAACACCCCATTTAGAGAAAGTGGATTTTAAAGAAGAGATGTTTTAGAGATTCTAGAGATTCTAGGAGAGATATTTCTAGAGAGTCAGCTTTAGCAAATCATACTGGAGGATATACCTTTAAAGTGTGTTAAAAGAGTAATGCCACAAAGATTACTTTTTATTGTGAGAGTCTTTTATTCTTTTTTCTGTGATCATAATGTTAAGTTGTAGGCACCAAACTGGTTCACTCATAATAATTCAAAGGCTGAATTTCATGGTAAAGTAGACTCATAGTAAGTCAGGATAGAAGAGCATCTATAATACTTTATAATCTTTTTCCTAGAAAATAGTTTTTAATTAAGAACAAAAGCAATTCACATTTATTCTTGAAAATCAGCAATGGGCTTAAATTTGGATAAATGTAAATGATCAGTCATTTGGAGAAATATAAAGAATCATTTTGAAAGAAGCATTGTGATCATTTTTAGAAATTACCTAAATATCTATTGTATTTACTGTCAGTGCTCTGCTCTAGCAGTGCCTCTCAGCTACTTTCATCATTTTAGTCACACTTGACTCCGTGTTTTCACTCCCAACAACTAGCATCTGTTTCTCTTTGTTGGAGGTTGGCCTGAGTCTGATAGAACACCCTTTGGACTTTTGTAGAGAGATAACATTTCCTGGGAATTTGTGATCACCCTTCTCTCTCCCACCACAGGCCTTAAAAAATGACTAACCAATTGAAGTGGTACAAACACTCCCCTTGATTCTGGCTGTGAGCTACTAAGTTTCCTCTCTGGGATTGGGGCAACTTTACCTACTGAAAGACACTGCTTGATATTGTCCTTTATTTGTACTACTTCTATTCCTGTCCTAGTTTCCCAGAGTTTTGTTGTTTTCCAGGAACACTTCCTAAGAAGTTACCTTCAGATTAAACTTCTTGTCAAAATCTGCTCCTAGGCAAACTGATTTATGTGTCCAGATGTAGAGATAATGATGATTATAAATAGATATATGAAAAGGTGCATATACAGATGGAGGTAATTAGTTTCCTAGAGCTGCTATAGAAAGAACTCCAGACTAGGTAGCTTTAAAACAACAAAAATTTATTCTGTTTCAGTTCTAGAAGTTAGAAGTCTGAAATCAAGATGTCAGTAGGGTCATGCTTCCTCCAAGACTCCAGGTAGAATTTGTTCTTGCTTCTTCCTAGCTTCTGTTGGTGGCCATCAATCTTCGGTATTCCTTGGCTTTCAGATGTGTTACTTCAATCTCTGCTTCTGTTGTCACACAGTGCTCTCTCTATGTATCTCTCTTTTTGTAAGAATAACGACTGATGTCCTTATTGGAGTAAGGTCCCACCTGACACCAATAGGACCTCATCTTAACTATTTACATTTGCAATAATCCTATTTCCAATTACTATCACATTTTAAGTGTTGAGAGTTGGGACTTCAACATAATTTTTTGGGGCACACAATTCAACCCATAACAGATGATAGATAATAGATAGATAGATAGATAGATCACAGACAGAAATATAAAGATGTCATTCTAGACAGTTTTATGGCTCATTATTTTTTATTATCATATTATAAAATGTTTCATGCATTCAAAGAAGAAGCTATGTGCTGGGTAACAAGTGTATGTGAACAGTGCTGTGGTGGGGAGCTTATATGCAACCCTGTGCTCCTTTCCTTACTTTGTCCCACTCCTTACAACTAAAATTTTACTTAGTAACTCACTAGAACTAGCCTATTACCCTAAGAAATATTTGCATTCCAGCCTGGGCGACAGAGTAAGACTCCGTCTCAAAAAAAAAAAAAAAAAAAAGAAAAAAAAAGAAATATTTGCATTTATGGAAGTATTTAAGGTACTTACCTATTTTAAATAAAAATAAAATAAAATAGTACACATGAAAAGAAAAACTCTATACCAGAGTAAAGCCTAGTCCTAATTGATTTGTTATAAAAACTTTAAAAAGAAAAAACTTAAAAGCCAACATTATAATTTAAAAGAGAACCTATTATTAATCTGTTCAGTGAATTATTTTTTTCCTGGTTCAGTTTTGGAACAGTGTATGCATCCAGGAATTGATTCATCTCTTTTAAGTTTTCTAGTTTGTGTGCATAGAGGTGTATTTGTAGACGCGTTTGCAGTAGCTTCTGATGGTTATTTTAATTTTTGTGGGATCAATGGTATTATCTCCTTCATTTCTAATTGTATTTATTTGGCTATTCTCTCTTTTCCTTATTATTATTCTAGCTAGTGGCCTGTTTCGCTTATTACTTTTTTCAAAAAAACAACTCCTTGATTCATTGATCTTTTGAATGGATTTTTGTGTCTCAATTCTTTCAGCTCAGCTCTGATTTTGGTTATTTTTTGTCTTCTGCTAGTTTTGGGGTTGATTTGTTCTTGCTTCTCTAATTCTTTCTGTTGTGATGTTAGGTTGTTAATTTGACATCTTTCTAGCTTTTTAATGTGGGTATTTAGTGTTATGAGTTTCCCCCTTAACACTGCCTTAGCTGCCTCTGAGAGTTTCTGGTGTGTTATATCTTTGTTCTCATTAGATTAAAAAAATTCTTGATTTCTGCCTTAATTTCATTATTTACCAAAAAGTCAATCATGAGTGTGTTTAATTTCCTCGTAATTGCATGGTTTTAAGCAATTTTCTTAGTCTTGACTTCTATTTTATTGAGCTGTGGTCCAAGAGTGTGTCTGATATGATTTTGTGGGGTTTTTTTTTGTATTTTCTAAGGATTGTTTTATATCCAATTATGTAGTCAATTTTAGAGTGTGTGCCATGAGGTAATGAGGAGAATGTATGTTGTGTTGTTTTTTTCTTTATTTTTTTAAGAGACAGGTTCTTACACTGTGTCGCAGGCTGGAGTGCAATGGCGTGATATGGGTCACTGCAGGCTCAAGCTCCTGGGTTCAAGCAATCTTCCTGCCTTGGCCTTCCAGGTAGCTGCTACAACCAGTGCATGCCACTATACCCAGCTAATTTTATTTTTTATTTTTGTAGAGACAGGGTCTCACTCACTATGTTGCCCAGCTGGTCTTGAACTCCTGACCTCAAGCAATCCTCTCACCTTGGCCTCCCAAAGAGCCTGAATTACAGGCAGAGTACTTTTGGGTCTTGCTATTTTATCCAGCTTGCTATTCTGTGTAGTTTTACTGGGGACTTCATTTCATTTACATTCAAAGTCCATATTGATGTGTGTGGATTTGATACTGTCATTGTGTTGTTAGCTGGTTATTATGCTGGCTTGTTTGTGTGGTTGCTTTATAGTGTGACTGGTCTGTGTATTTAAATGTGCTTTCGTATTAGCTGATAATGGTTTTTCTTTCTATATTTAGTACTCCTTTAAAGATCTCTTGTAAGGCAGATCTGGTGGTAACGAACTCCCCCAACATTTGCTTATTTGAAAATAATCTTATTTATCCTTTGCTTAGGAAGCTTAGTTTGGCTTGATATAAAAAATCTTGGAAAATCTTTTTCTTTAAAAACATTGAATATAGATCCTCCAGTCTCTTCTGGCTTATAGGGTTTCAGCTGAGAGGTCCAACATCTCTTAAAGAAAATGAAGAAATAGAATAATAAAGATTAATAAATTAATCAGCTAGAACATAGAAAATGTAACAATGCATAAACGAACTTTGCAGGTGACTTTGGAAAAAACTGCTAGTTGTTCCCAAAAAACTAGCTAGTTGTTGTTTACTCTCTATGAAGCGGCTACACTGTCTGGGGTATATACCCTGGTTCTTTCTCATGGTTGAGAAAGAATTCAGGACAGAGACACATGTGGGTGGGTTAAGGAGTGGAAAGTTTAATAGAAGAAATGAGAGAAGAGAGAAGCTCCTTGCATGAGAGAGAAACCTCTGAAAAAGTGGGAGGCTGTGAATCTCTGCAGATTTTAAAGGCAAGCTGGATAAGGCAGTATCTGATTACACAGGGCTCACAGATTTGTTCCATCAGGCATGAAGTCTACATAGTGCTTGGGGAAGGCTGGTTGTCCTGCCCTAATCTTATTATGCAAGTGGACTTTCCAGTTGATTGGTGCCATCTTGTCTGCTTCTTACTGTACACTTGGCTAACAAAGAGAAGGGAAGATGGAGCCGCCATCTTGAAAACGTCTAGTCCTTGGTTCCTGCCAGCATTCACTCATGCAAGCTCCCAGCTTGCAGGCTGCTCTTTGCTAAAAAATGATTTGGAGCTATTTTTCATTAAAAAGAAAGGCCTTACCAAGTATTCCCATGCCCTTGCTGTCTGCCTAAGTAATTCCTTCTTAACTCCTATATCATCTAGTTGTTTACACTCTCCATTCTTCTTTAATAATAGAGCAATTATTTTTAGCTGAGTGCATTACCTTCCCACTTCAACAGGGATTGTCTGTCCTGACCTCTCTAACAGCTGTGGTTGGATGGTAAGATAAGGCAGGGTATGTATAACTTTCAGGAAATGGCTTTAACGAGAAGGTTCAAAACTTTATCTTGCTGTTGGAAAAGTGGATATTATGTTTAGGGCTTAAGGATTCCTTTTGCCTCAAATGTAGAGAATGATGGTGTCATTACATATAGGGAGTTAGCCGTTTGTGGTGATATAGTCTCCATTGCCAGTAGTGGAGTGCTCACCACCAAAAGTCTATGTTGAAAAGAAAGTAACTGCTCTCTCCCTCAGCCACTGTAACTTTAAGTGTTTTATGTTGGAAACTAAAAAAAAAAGTTTACAGAATTTTAAAAAGATGAGTAGGCCAAATTATAAGTTAGAGATGAAAATGATATATTATTAACATACATAAAAATAAAAATATTTTCAGAAAAAAAGTCGTTTACGAATGCACTGAAATATTTTTGCAAAATTTAAAATTTCCTACAAAAAGTCAAAATTAATTAAAAAATTTAAACCCAAATTAACCAGTAATGATGATGATGATAGTGGTTACACCAACTACTAATTCTAATAATAAGATAGTCACATGTTGCTTAACAACAAGGATACGTTCTGAGAAATGCATCATTAGGAAATTTTGTTGTACAAACACCATAGAGCATACTTAAATAATCTAGATGGTATAGCCTACTACGTACATAGGCTATATGGTTGAACCTATTACTTCTAGGCTAAAAAGCTGTTTGACATGTTACTGTACTGAATATTGTAAGCAACTGTAACGCAATGCTATTTGTGTACCTAAACATATATAAACATAGAAAGGATACAGTATAAATATGGTATTTTAATCTTACGTGACCACTGTCATATATGGGGACTGTCATTGGCAGAAATGTCATTATGCGGCAAATGACTGTATATATATATATATTTTTCATAATAAGATAGTTTTTAGCCTTAAAAATTTACAAAATCCTGGCATTTGTGACAATAAGTGAAATAAGCCAAACACAGAAAGACAAACACTATATGATTTCATTTATATGTGGAATCCAAAATAGTTAAATTCACATAAGCAAAGAGTAGAATAGTGGTTGCCAGAGTCTTTATGGGAGGGAGAAATGGGAAGATGTTGGCCAAGGGCTACAAAGTTTCAGTTATGCAAGATGCATAATTTCTGGGGATCTAATGCACAGCAATGTGACTATAGTTAACAACACCATTATATACTTGAAATTTGCTAAGAGTATACATCTCAAATGTTCTCACTAAAAAACAAACAAAAATGAAAATAAAGGAAAAAATAATAAAGATGTGAGATGATAGATATTTTAAAGAGCTCAATTGTGGTAATTATTTCACAATGTATATCAAAATATCAAGTTGTACACCTTAAGTATATACTTTTTGGGGGTTAATTCTACTTCAATAAAGCCAGATAGAAAAAGAAATACCCATCATAAATATTTAAAAAATGATGTTACAAATATAGTTGAAGATACTAAAAGACAAGTGTATAGAAACTGATAAAACAGTATTTTATTACAGAAAGTTATGAGAGAAAAAAATCCAGGTGAAACAATAGACTGCTGCGAAATTATAGAAGTAGAGACTGTGCATAAAGATTTGCTTCAGGACATTTAGGAAATACCCTTTTTAAAATGCCTATGCCACCTTTGCAGATCAACTGCTTTCAAAAGATATTTTTTGTTTACTGTATTAGTCTGTTCTCACAGTGCTATATACATTTTTTACCTGAGACTGGGTCATTTATGAAGAAAAGAGTTTTAACTGACTCACAGGTCTGCAGGCTTAACAGGAAGCATGACTATGAGACCTCAGGAAACTTATGATCATGGAGGAATGTGAAAGGGAAGCAAGCACATCTTACCATGGTGGAGATGAGATTTGGGTGGGGACACATAGTCAAACTATATTATTTACTTTTACCATCAACATTATTTTAAACAATTATTTGCTAAGCTTTTTGGTAAGCACTTGCCATAGGCTGTCACAGTTAATTTTTCTAAGAACCTTACGTAGCCAATTGCTAACATTTTGGCTATTTCACAAATAGAGAAACAGGTTTACAGGGCTTAAAATGCCTTACAGAAGGATAAACACCTAGAAATTTAGTAGAACAAGTATTCTACATAAGAGCTCTTATTATGGTCCCTTAACTAGTAATTCAAAAGATATATTATGAAAGTTATAGTCAAATTGTTCACACATTTCAGCATGGGTAAAATAACTTCATCTATGTAATTGCTGGCAAGATACTTACAACTCTACACTTGTTCATTAATCAATATATATTATGGTGTTGTAATGCTGTCTATGGAATTGCTGATTAAAACTAGTGACAAATTTTCTTTTTGGATTCTTCAGGAAATACTTTAGAAAATATTCTTAATTATTCACAAATGTTATTACTATTAAAGGTACATGGATATATTTGGCTACAAATAGTATCCATTTGAAAAATATATCTGGACTTTGAGTGATAGTGATGATGATCTCTCAGTTGCACACTTATCCATATACTCATCCAGGTATATACATTGAATATGTACAGCTTTCTGTTTGTCACTCATACCTCAACAAAGTAGTTTTTTAAATGTCTGGAAAATGAAAACAGTTGTATACAAATATGTATATGTATATATACATATATATCATTCCAGCAGAAATTTTAGTTTATTCTAACTAGTGAAGTGGAGATAGTTACTCAATCAATATAAGGGACAAATTTGTAATTATCAAATTAGAATTGACTAACATTGTGATGGTTAATTTTATGTGTCGACTTGACAGGGTTAAGGGATGCCCAGATAGCTGCTAAATCATTATTTCTGGGTGTGTCTTTAAAGATGTTTCTGAAAAAGATCAGCATTTAAATCAGGAGATTATGAAAGAAGATCCTCTCCCACTAATGAGATTGTCCATCCTCGAATTCACTGAGGGCCCACACGGAACAAAAAGGCAGAGGAAGGGCACATTTGCCCTTTTCTTGAGCTGTCACATTCATCTTCGCCTGCCCTTGAACTTTGGAGTTCCTGGTTCTTAGACCTTCAGCCTGGGACTAAGAGTTACACTATTGACTCCCCTGGTTCTCAGGCCTTAAGACTCAGACAGAATTATAACACCAGCTTTCTTGATTCTCAGTTTGCAAAAAGCACATCGTAGGACTTTACAGCATCCATAATTGCATGAGCCAATTCCAATAATAAATTCCCTTTTATATATCTGTATACATTCTATTGATTCTGGTTCTCTGGAAAACTTTTATATAAACCTGTATATTCCTCTATTATTCAACAATCAGCCAGCACTTTCCTCTAAAGATTCAGAGGAGTGTTTGAGCAATATCTGCTTTTACTACTCACTAGAAAGGCTTTGCCTCCCAATGAGGTACAAAATCAGTTTCAAAGCAGATGAAGGAGCCCTAATTCCAGTGAGGGTGTCTTCCTGGCTTGGACATACGGTGCCTTCTTTCTATCTCCTCATGTTTCTATCCATTTCCTCTCAGTGCTCTGTTTCTCCATATTTATTTTGGAGTGGTTTCTGGACAGTCTAATACACCACAGTTTAATATTTTTCTCTTTATGGCTTATCTATAAGCACCTTCTTCCAAGAAACAGAAATTGGAATCTAGGTGTTCATTTCAACACCTAGGAATTTTAGTTGATCTGTCATTTTCCAACATACTTCTGAATTGTCTTTTTACCTTACATTGTATGTGAACAGCCTGTATGCAATTCGGTATCCTCTAGCTGCATGTTATTGTTTTCTTGGAATTTACAGATTTTTAAATTCAAAGTCATTTAGATACAACCTATTATTTTTCAGCAAATATTTATACTGCCATTGTTTTGCTTTGTGGAAGGATGTAATTCCTATCCCTGTCAATGTTCGATATTTTTCAGCAAATATTTATACTGCCATTGTTTTGCTTTGTGGAAGGATGTAATTCCTATCCCTGTCAATGTTCGACACACAGCTTGCTTTGGCTAAATGAATGTCATGGAAGTGACATATCTCATGTTCAAACAGAGAATTTACATATGCTTGGGGGTTGCCTTGAAGTCTTTTTTTTTCTTTTTTTTCTTTTTTTTTTTTTTTTGAGATGGAGTCTCGCTCTGTCTGTTGCCCAGGCTGGAGTGCAGTGGCGCAATCTCAGCTCACTGCAAGCTCCGCCTCCCGGGTTCACGCCATGCCATTCTCCTGCCTCAGCCTCCTGAGTAGCTGGGACTACAGGCGCCCGCCACCACGCCCAGCTAATTTTTTTTTTTTGTATTTTTAGTGGAGACGGGGTTTCACCGTGTTAGCCAGGATGGTCTCGATCTCCTGACCTTGTGATCCTCCCCCCTCGGCCTTAAAATTGCTGAGATTACAGGCGTGAGCCACTGCACCCGGCCGCCTTGAACTCTTAAAGGCCTGTGATTCACCATGAGAACAGCCCATGTCCCACATGGTCTGGCAAAAACACTGCCACTGACCTACAGATCATGAGCAAGAAATAAAGGTTTGTTGTTGAAAGACACTGAGGTTTTAAAGTTGCTTTCAATATAGCATCATTATTGTAAAATAGAAACAGCAAGTCTCAGAGTATAAGAGATCCAGATATTTGTGATTTTATTCATAACAACTTCTGTTACAACTAAGTGAACATCAGGTGAGTTACTGAAAAGCTCTCTGAACAGGAAAATTTTCGGTAAGGAGCAACTCATAAATGTAATGCCATAATTTACATTTTTGCAAGATGCTACTTAGACAAAGGTTTTGGGGGTCAAGAAATGCATGCAGGTGTGCAATATGAGGGTTAGTGTTTCCCCTCTCAAATGTTACTTTCTGGTACTGTGACATTTGGCTTGGTCTTCCATATATGTACATAATTCTTTATTTAAATTTATCTCTTCAGACACTGTCCTTTCTAAAAATGCTAATTTTGGTTTAATTATTCGGAAGCACTTTATTTACCACTTTTTTTCCCCAAGGATTCCTTACCTTGGAAATATTATTTTTACTTCTTAAGACACTGTTTCTATTCATCCTCATGAAGCTAACTTCTATTATTATTCACAGTGCAGCAGAGGCAGCAACTCCTCAGGGAGGCCTTTCCTCTCTATTCTTATATAGATACCTTGTCTCAATAATATTCTCTCTTAAACCATTCTTCTTTCTCTCTTATTTGGCTAATAGCCCGTAGAGATAAGAGATTATGCCATATTTATCTGTACCTGCAATATTGTAAGTCCTTACTAAATATGAATGTATGAGTTTTTTTTTCTGTGCTTTCTGAGAATCTCTAATTTGTTGGTGCTTTTGATTCTAGCCAGATTTTTCCATTGTATAACACTGAAGTAAAGTAAGGTAGCTGTGTGTATCTAACTGAACTATCACATGCTATATATTTATTTATTTGCTTCCCAAAAGGATTTCTGGCAGAAGCTCAAATTAAGACACTGGAACAAGAAAATTAAAGAAATAAAATGATATACTGATTTAGAAAAACAAGCTAATTCATTTACGAATTGAATCTCAGGATTACTTTTAAAATCCCTTGAAGCCACAGAACACATGGAAACAAAACATAGGTCTAAGCATAAAACAGGGGGTAACAAACAATATAATTAGAAGATTGCAATTTTCTAGATGATAAAGTCTAACAAGATTTTGTACTATAAATAATATAAACTAAAAAAATGAGTAACAATTCTTAAGACAAATTTCTAGAAAAAAATGTAAATAGTCTTATCTGAACATTTCTTAATTAGGCCTTTGATAATAGCCAAAAACATAATATAAAGTTCAGCTATGCACTTACTACTACAGCCTGTGAAAACCTTGAGACCAGCATTCATGCTTCATTCATTTTTATTTACCTGAGACCAAGTACTACCCCACACAGTATAAGTAATGAATTTAACTATAACCTTTTGGCCTGTCAGCTAACAGTTAAGTGAATGTGATTTAGATAGAAAATGCCATATTATAAGTGTGTTATGTAACATATATGTTTAAAGTCTCCTCAAATATATAATTATATAAAATCATTTTTACTTATTTCTTTCCAGTGTATTTTCAATGTATCAATACTCTGGAAAACAGATATTTAAAGTTTTAACATTTTGAATGAAAAGTACTTATGCTCTAAAAAAAGCATGCAGATAATTAATTTGAGGTTATAGAATCAAAATAATATTTTTTACATCTCACAAAGTCATTTTCTAAATTAAAACTTTCTATAGAATTTTACAGAAGTAATTTCTAGCCCAAAATTTCATTTTAAAATTTTTTAAAAATAATTTTTCAATAATTAAGCCAGTAATTAAGGTAATTGATGTAAAATAAGCAGAATATTTTAAATGCCATCATTAGAAAACAGTTTTTATCAAAATCAACAAAATGAACACTCACAATATTAAATTGATATAAATAGTATTCCATATCAGGAGGCAAACAATTTAAATTTTGAGTTATATGCCTGAAAGCATAGAATACATTTTCTAGCATCAATCATAATAAATAATAAATTCTCAATTCATACTTAGGTTTCTCAATGTCTTGTTGTTACATTACTTAATCAGTAAAGTATTATACCTTTAAACTTGATGTAGTTGTTTTATCTGGGTCTTTCAGAAAATCAGTCAAGTTATAATTTAAAAGGACAGTGAATAGTTTAAGCATTTTTGCAATTATTCCTGTCATGTCACATTAAAGAGAAAATATTTATGATTTTAGCATGTGTTATGATGCTCTAAGATTAGGGAAAGTATAAATGGATGTCTTTGGAAGTTCAGATTTTCATAAGTAATATAAAATTATTATTCAATTAATATAGATATCTACTTACCTTCCAATGTTGAACAGGCTCAGTTCACAGAGAATGAGTAAAAGCATATTTTCCACAATCAGACTCCTTTCTATTGTTCCAGCAACACGTCTGAGGAGAGCACCTAATTGATGAAAAAGCCAGATGGTGATACTTACTGTGAGAATTGAAGAAACCAAGAATCTTGGATTATGTTAACATGAACAGTAATGTTGATTAACCTTCATAAATTCCTCCAATTGTCTACGTGTATAAATGACAATAAAACAAAAGGACTGCCCTATTTGAAATATTGGCAAGTGAAATGATCACTCTGGAGAATACAGATCTTTGAAATCAATTATAATCTAAATTCCCAATTACTCTAATAAAAGGGAAATGAATTAGCAAGATCTGTATGTTATATAATTCTGAAGCTTCATCTTTATAATAGATGAATTGTAAATGTATTAGATCAAATTTTAAATTTGTACTAGATAAATTGATTGTGCTAGATCAAATTGTAAAGTTGATCATTTATCTGATCCATCATTTATTCATGAAGTGCTGAAGTTGTTGTGCCTGGTAAAAATGAGTGTCAAATAAAAGTCTACCATGACTTCTGCATAAAACCTACAGTAAGTACAGGAAGATTCTCAGTCAACAAAAACAACTATAATTGAGCCTTGAGGTATAAGCTATGTCCACTTAATACTCCAATTTTCTTCTACCTCTTTCACCCCTGAAACAATAAGACCAACTACTCTTCCTCATTCACCTCAGCCTAGTGAACAGTAAGTCTATTATGATGGAAACCTTAATGATGATTCACTTCCACTTAATAAACAGTAAATATATTTTTTCTTCCTTTGATATTCTCAGTAGCATTTTCTATTCTTTAGCTTACTTTATTGTAAGAATACAGTGTATAATACATGAAACATATGAAACATGTTAATTGGCTGTCCATGTTACTGGTAAAGCTTCCAGTGAACAGTAGATTATTAGTAGTTAAGTTTTTGAGAAGTCAAAAGTCATATATAGATTTTTTTATTGTGCAGGGTGTCAGTTCCCCTAACCCCCGCATTATTCAGGAGTCAACTGTATATTGTAAAATTAAAATGGATAAGTCAGAGAATACACTTATTAACATGCAATGGAAGTTTAGGGTAGACAGCCATATTTATTTCTAGGAAAGTCAGCTATAAAAGGAATTTTAGTAATACACCTATACATTCTGTCTTCCTTCAGAGATTAAGATGGTAGGATTTATGACTTAAGTATGTGATTCTGGAGACAGACTGAAAGCTCTATAGAGCATGCATAGATCTCTTTTGAAGTGATTAATATAAAGAGGTATCCTTTTTTGAAACATGGGAAAAGTCATAATTAATAACTATCCTAATGCTTCCTTGCCTTTTAAAAAAACATAAGAAGAAATTATAGGAAAAGGAAGGCAAGATAAAAGGATGTGATGATAATTTATTCTTTTCACAGAAAAGAATAAAGCAAACAAATTTAACCGAGATTCTAAAACAAATTCTTAACAAACGCATATTGTAGCTTTTGCAGCTATTATAAGAGAATCAAGGTTGATTCAAGTAAGAACTGATGCAGTGGATCTGCAGAGATCCACAATTTAAGGTCTTCATTCTGCGAAGTGAGAGTTAAGAGTCAATATACAAAAGCATTCAGCTTGTACCTCTGGACTTTTTTTTTTTTTTTTTAACTTATAAGGACATGAACACCAATCTGCTTCTAGGCATGCACAGCTGTTCACCTCTGTGAAGTCCAAAGCATTTCTATTAACAAAGCTCCACTTGAACTTCATTTTATTTTCAAAGCAGAAGCATATTGAATGCTTGTATTAGTCCATTCATGCATCGCTATAAAGAAACTCCTGGGCCTGGGTAATTTATAAAGAAAACAGGTTTAATTGGCTCATGATTCTGCAGGCTGTACAGGAAGCATGGCAGCATCTGCTTGGCTTCTGGGGAGACCTCAGGAAACTTACAATGACAAGAGAAGCAAAGGGTGAGTGAGCACTTCACATAGCCCAAGCAGGAGGAAGAGAGGGCAGAGGTACCACACACTTTCAAACAACTACCTCTCATGAGAACTCACTATCCTTATAACAGCACTAAGGCGGGGGTGGCGTTAAACCATGAGAAATCGCCCCCATTATCCAATCACCTCCCACCAGGCCCTACCTCCAGCAATGGGGATTACAATTCAATATGAAACCAAACCTTATCAAGGCTCTAGAATTGTTAGGATTTTGTGAACTGAATTAATCAAAATCAGTATTACTAGGCTAATAAATTACTTCACATTGTTTACAATGATGATATTTCTGGTAATTAATTAAACAATATTCTTATTTCATAGAACGAGGTAAAGAAGGAGCATGTCATACAAAGAGGAGTCTTTGCTCTTATCCAGAAGCATATATGAACCTTAATATTTAGGTTAGACAATGTGATTCATGCAGATATACTGACATACAGATATAGCAAGTTTTGTGGGGATGATTGAAGACGCAACCCTTTCTGTAACCATATGGCCGAATCGTCATGGAAGAAAGGTTTGTTTCACTTAGACAAAAACAAATCATTAAAATTAGGACTGAACTTTTGGGTCAGGTGGAGTGGCTCATGCCTATAATCTCAGCACATTGGGAGGCTGAGACAGGTGGAACACTTGCGGCCAGGAGTTCGGGACCAGCCTGGCCAATGTGGAGCAACCTTGTCTCTACTAAAAATGCAAAAAGAAAAAAAAATTAGTCAGGTGTGATGGCACATGCCTATAATCCCAGCTGCTCAGGAGGCTGAGGCATGAGAATTGTTTGAACCTGGAGGTGGAAGTTGCAGTGAGCTGAGATCATTCCATTGCACTGCAGCCTGGGTGACAGAGTCAGACTGTCTCAAAAAAACAAAACAAAACAAAAAAAACAGGCAACTTCAACTGTATAAAAATCTCAATTTCAGTCTTAATATCTGTATGCAAATGATAGACAGATATAGTTACAAAGATTATCTATCATCATATATATCTATCTATTTGCATATATAGAGAGAAATGGCTAGATATAGATGTATTTATCTTACAGGTATTAGGCAAGAGCCCAAGTCAGTAAAATTCTTTTAACTTGAAAATTAAAACTCAACATCACAACTACTAACAGTGGCAATATTAATTTTAAAAGAATATGCTTGACATATCATCAAGTATTTAAAATTCCTTTTCTCTCTTTCTCTGAAGGAAGGAAAGCTGGTGCTGTGATTGCTACAGGTTAATACTTGCTTTTTATATTGATTTGATCTTAAATATTCATGCTTTACAATAAACCCACCAGCAGGCTTTGAATTTCTTATCTTATTTAAAGACCATTTGGAAGATTCTTCTACTTTCAATTTATTAAGGCTCAAAAATTGTTTTACTTCCCTCCACAACAAAAATTTATTATCACCTGAAACTTCAGAAAGTTGCTTATTGGCAGCCAGCTGATTTCATGGGAACATAATCTAACAACCTCACCATACCTTTTAAGAAGCCAATGAGACAAGAGACTAATTATTCCAGTAGTCTTATTATTCTATCAAATGATCATGAAACTATGTGCCATCACATTCTAAAATTTAATTATAAATATAGTATTTAGTATTTTACTATCCTGCACACATTGCAAAATATTATGTATGCTTGCTTCACTTGTGAAAAGGAATATTTATACACTACTTCAGCTGTCTAACTCCAAGTCAGATTTGAGTCTTCTCTCTAAAAAATTTAAAAATAATCCAGTACTTCTCATATTCCATATGACACAGATTCGTTTCTTAGCAGAGCAAAAGATTTCATGATAGGAGTAGAAAGCACTGGGAGAATGCAGAAGGCTCAAGGAATTAGAACAGAGTAGATAATAATGGCTAACACTAATTTTGTGATTACTAAGTACTAAGTAAGCAAATTAGGCACTTCATGGGTATTATTGCATGTATCTTCATAATAAATGAATGAGGTCATCACCAATATATGCCCAATTACACATAAGT
The DNA here is from genome assembly GCF_000001405.40 of Homo sapiens. Taxonomy (NCBI): domain Eukaryota; kingdom Metazoa; phylum Chordata; class Mammalia; order Primates; family Hominidae; genus Homo; species Homo sapiens. Next base: position 96,931 of record NW_003315915.1, read on the forward strand.
AATGGAGAATAAGCAACCACAAAGATTGCATATCTAGGTATTATTAAAGTTGATATTTTAATTTAATAATGTCTCAAAAGCCCACACTAATGCATTAATATATCATATTTACTCCTAAACATTTTGCAGCATCTGCTCAGGTATGTTTCTGTCTGAAATAATGGAAATAAAATTAGTTAACACATTGATTTTCTTAATATGCATTGGAACTTCTGCTAGGAACTTTATGTACACTACATCAGGTCCAATACACTATAAGCTATTTTAAAGAAGTAAATATATATAATTTCGCCGTTCATTGGGTGACCAGGCAGTACGGCCAAGGTTAAAATACAGGTAAGTGTCACCAGGGAAAAGCCCAGCATGATTCAAGGTCACTGAAACCAGACAACATGCACACCAGCCTCCAGTGGTAGAGAATTCACTTACAGCAAGATGAGAGAGAAAGTTTGCACAGGATCTAGTCCCTGGTGATCTGTGGGCACCCTCACGGCCAGCAGGTTCATTCAGCTACCTTCATGACCCTTGTAGCTGCTCTCTCCACTTTGTACTGCAGTGGACGGACCCATACTTCGTGGGGCCTGAAATACAGAAACCTGGAGGCATGCCTGAGAGCCACTGATGCAGGTGCCTAAACAGAACAAAGGCATGTACTTCAAGCCCAGACCATGGAAAGATGTTCCCTCACAAACAGATGTGCCCATCCAGGCCCCAGGCCACTCTCAAGCAGCAGATCAGAGCACCAGAAGCTCCACATGCTGCCTTTTTCAAGATAAATAACAAAATATTATTATATTACTTTACCTTACCTAACCTTTCCTTACCTTACATTGTGTAATATCACATCATATTAGCTACTTACTTTTTTGGGAAATAAACCATGTATTCAGAGTTTTTTCTGACAAATTATTTACTTTATGGGAAAAAGTGTGTATATGCTGAGTATAATCTTTTAGAACTTCTACATTTCCATTTCATTTTTGTCATGATCTGTGGAACTTCAAAGAAAGATGGAATCAGAATACAGGACAACATTGTTTTTTAATGTCAATGTCATGTATGTCATTAGTGTTTTTGAAATATACAAGAATGAACTGGATTTTCTACATCCAGCATAGCAGAAAGAACTCTGAAAATGTGATCCTCCAGAAAAGAAAAAGAAAGAAAGAAAAAAAAAAGGCACTGGCAAAAACTGTTCAATTAAACCTTTTCAAAACTTTGGAAATTAACCCTGCTTGTACCAATCCAAGACATGTTGTTTCAAGAATAACTGGCTGCATCTCAGTGTTCTCCACTAAATTTAGCTACTTGAGGACAACCCCTAAGGGTTATTTGCTTTTGTGTCTCCATCATCTCACACAGCTACTGCTATATAGCTTATGTTCAGTCAGTATTTCTGGAATGATGAAGGCTCATCCAAGCCTCTTACAGAGAGACTTCCCAAGCCCTGCAAGTCAGTGATGACTGTCTTCAGCATGCACAGCACTCAGCAAACCCTTATAGAACATCTACAGAAAGAAGACTTCTCTGTGGGGCCATGCTTGCAACCCCCTCCTGTGGTTTTTTCACTTCGTCCCATAACTGATCCACCTCTCTACTCCCCATTGCCATAAGCAATCTACCTAAAAACTAAATATGACCAGGCAATTGCCTTTTTTTTTTTTCAAATAAATATCTTGGCTAGTAAGTGTCTTAGCCAGTTTTGGCTGCTATAACAAAATATCATGACTTGGTGGTTGCAACAACAGAAATGTATTTCTCACAGTTCTGGAGGCTGAGAAGTCCAAGATCAATGCTGGTAGATCTGATGTCTGGTGAGGGTCAGCTCCCTGGTTTGCAAATAGTCATCTTTTCATCATTTCCTTACATGGCAGAGAGCAGAGAGCATCTTTCTTTTGTGTCTTCTTTTAAAGACATAATCCCATTCACAATGGCTCCAGCCTTATTACCTAATCACTTCCCAAAGGTCCCACCTCTCAAAACCATCACATGAGATGTTAGGATTTCAACATATGAATTTGGAGGAAACACAAGCATTCAGTCCACAATGGTAACTTTTTATTTTTGTAATTTTTTTAGCTTTAACATCCAAAGATGGCATAACTATTCTTTACAATGCTTTTGGAAAGCAATTTAACAATATCATAATTGACTCAGTCATTTCAGCCGCTCATGAAAATCTATTTTAAAGAATAAACATCAATGGAAAATAACAATATAAACAACAACAAAAATAATCAGAAGGCAAAATATGTAACAATCAAATTTGGTTTTGATGTTTTAGCAGCCTCCTATGGAAATTTTGGAGATGGTATATTATATATTACCAGATAAATAAAAAGATGTACATTCCCTAAAGTCTCTCTTATTCTTCTGGTAGCTTATCTTAAAGTCTTTATGGAAAGTTTCATAATAACCACTCAGGATATTTAAAGAAAAATATAACAGCTAGGACAAATAGAATTATCAGGTTTATAGTGGATCTAAAAGCAAATGGTATTTGGTATACAGAATTACTGAAGATGTAATAGAAATTTCCTCTGGGAATATGGCTTGATTTGTTTCTTATTTGTTGAGGGAGAAAATCTCCTTGCCTCATTTTGCCTGGCTTGTTTGTAATATTTACTGCTGCAAATTGAATTTTGCATCATGCTTACATGCAAACCATCTCTAAGCTTTTCAGTTTTTCCTTCTAATTACTTTTAGATTTAGATTCTCTATATAAAAATCTGCATCTCAAACTATGTTTTCCTCTCTCAAGAATGATTATATCTTTCATGTCTTATCTGCCTCTTTCTCTCTGATTTTCCTTTTAAAGTCATATCTATCATTATATTTAGTAACATTTTAAGAATAGTTTACTTTCAAAAATCATTTTAGTATGATATGTTAATATCATTTTCTGTACATTCTGTTTGAAGGAAAGATCATGTCTCATATAAAATAATACACTCATATTTGCATGTGATAGGTCTAAAACTGGTTTACTGGGTTAAGTAAAACGCTAGAACTTGTATGACATTATATTGTGAAGCATATTGAAATATTAAGCTAAGTAACATTACCGTAAGTGATGTCCCACTGATGTTCATTGTTTCAAGTAAATCTTTTCCACTCCTATACAAATTGTATCGCTAAAAAAAATAAAAACAACACTCTCAATGTGTTGTAAATCATAAGAAATATTTAAAAAATATATATATATGCCATGATTTTTCACCTCCAGGCCTTTGCAGAGGGTACCCTATCTCAGAACACTCCCCATTTTCTGTTTATTTGACAAGACTCCCGTTTATATTTTAGACTAGGTCAAAAATGTCTTTCTGCGCAGTGTCTTTCCCTAAGCAATTTATTCTCTGTGCTAACTTTGTCATGATTACTACATGGCACTGTGATTTACTTTCTCTAAAAACCTGTCACTCACTTTGTTATACTATTTATTATACAGTGACCTAGGCTGGCCTGATGATAGTACTTTATTCCAGTGGCTACCATGATTGATTCAGAGTTGCCACATAATCCAGCAAAGGTTAATTATCATCTCTCTCTCTCACTTTGAGTGGAAGAAGTTAACTGCATTGCCTGTTTTATCAAGAGTTTTACCCATCTTCTCTTTTCTGCATGTTGACCAGTAGAACATCCTATTCAGCAAGAGAAAGGAAGGAAATTTCGCATGCAGAGAAAAAAGAATGTGAGGAAAAGAAGAAAAGTAAAATGCCTGGAGACATCAAGGTCTTTGATTTAAATATTTCCAGAATGTATCCTTATTCTTCATGATTATGCAAACCCACTAATACTCATTTAGGCTGAAGCTAATTTGAGATAAGTTAATGTCCCGTGGAAATGAAAGATTCCTGACTAATATGCATACCTATGTTAAGATTAGGATTTAGTTTTAGTGCTGGCAAAACTTAGTTCAGTCAATTAGCAGTTGATTAAAAGCATTTTAACTACATTTTCTGTAGGATTACATTCTATGGCACTAAAGCGGAGGGTGTTCTGTTTTACATTTCTTTGAATACTGAGTAGGAGATAAAATTATCCAACTATTCAGGACAGAAGGAAGCTAAAGGGAGAAATATATAGTTCAGTACTTAACAATTAGGAGTTCAAATTCCTGGAGGCTAAAATTCTAAAAGAAAAACATCACGAGGAGGAAAAGGAGAGACATCTTCATGCTTCTTTGGTTTACTCCCTCTCCTTTTGTAATAATGTACATAATAGAGAAGTCCCATTAAAAACCAAATGCCAACAAAGAACACATTAAAGTTGCTGGTATTTTTAATTAAAATTTCCTAGTTATTGTTGTAGTGAGAAGGCATTTTCAATTTCTTACATAACACTAGCGGATAGGGAGTTACGAATGGTGAAAATCAATTACATTTGGTTTACCATATGGAGAGCTAAGTATTTCAGAATTAGTTTTTGCTGGCATATGCACCTTTGTATTTTACAAGGGATCAGGAGAAGATGCATTACATGGAAGTAAAAAAAAAAAAAAAACAGGGAGCTTTATTGTATCATCCCCTAGTGTCTAGCCAGTTTGAATTCTTCTCAAGTGAGTTGGCATTTTCTTATAGATCAGTTAACCAAAAACATGTTGTCACAAAAGAGGGACATATCACTAAAGAGTTAATTTGGTTACAGTTGTTCGATTTAATGTTTTGCTCTCTCTTAAAACTTTGCTTGCCATCCCACAGTAATCGTCCTGCAAGCATGAGCACTGACACCCCAAGGAGACAGCAATCCAGAAACAAATTGAGTATTTATATTAGAAAGGAGGAAACCAGAGAGACATAGACCTATAGAAGCACATCCACATGGTTGCACACACAAGCTGACTCAGGCATTTTGTTTGTACTTTGTAATAGGTTTTGCACACTGTGGTTGTCTGGGCAACAGTCAGAGGACAACAGAACTTCACAAATAGTGGAAGTGAAGGTTAGTAGCAAATGTACTGTAAATTAAAATTTACTGAGTAAAACTGTAATGGCATAAATTTGGCATCTATATAAAACTGTCTTTTTAAGCTGACTCATCTTTTTGTCAGTCAGTCTAGTTCTAAGCATATTGCTGATGTGATCGGCCTTTTAATCAACCTGAAAGTGTCTCATTTGTAAAGCGGTAGGGAGGGGAGAGGTTCATCTGAGAAGTCATCTTAGACTATTGACCTGATGCTTTCTGTATGCTACAAATAGAAGCGAAGTTTCGGATCATCCACTACTATGGCCTTCTATGCTCTATTATCTGTTGTAATCATTTAAATATAGGCTTTATTAAGTAACAGAGAAAACGTGTAAGTAATTTCTCCAGTTTACATTTCTCTAGGAGTTGTATTTAGAGCAGATAATACATTGGATCTATCCATATGTAAGAAACATTTTGATGAACTATATCAAAGCCTTGGGATTGGGTTAATTGTGACATTTGCTGACATTGTGACTTTGAAATCAGCTGAAATTTTACAAAGAAATTTAAAAACTGAAGAGTTTTAAACCTAATATATTTGGGCATTTTTTGAACACTTTTCTTTTTCTTTCTCTTGTTATTCTGGAAGAGAAAAGATGACTGTTTTCAAAAGACACCTTCTAACTGCCAAATATATTAAGACATACTTGTTGAAGAGCCAGAGTTTGTAAAAGTTAAAAGACATGATAGTTCAGGTTCTGTTACTGAGATGAAACTATTATATCTTGAGTCAACGGTAAGATTTTCAAGGGGTTTAGGCCTGAGGCTCTGGTGCCTTTCACTGTTGAGAGTTCTCTAAAATAACCTGAACCTTCATATGTCACGATGAAATATATATGCGGGATTCTTTAGTTGACTTTGTGTATATTTGGCCAAGGTTGTTCAAAGGTAAGATCTTGAATAACAAATTTTGTCTTACATTGTGTTTTTGACCAAAATTAACACAAATACTCCACTTCCAACGTTTCCTGAAGCTCTGTATCAAAAATATCCCACAAATACTAGTTTCCATGATTCTTTTTCTATAAAACAAGAATAAAAACATCTTGCCTCTGAGAATTTTTATAATAAGTACCATGTTGAGCAAATTTTCACAGGAAAGTTTTGAATAAAAACCTCATCCAGGGAAATAAAAATTCTAGTTTAAAGAAACTTTAGAAGGATGTTAACAGAAAACATGGTAGTTGTGTTACTTGTGATGCAATTGAATCCACATCAGTAGCTTATTAATGGGATACTGGATTAATTGACATGACAAGCATATTGAAAGTGCTTATCTTTTCCTGACATGGTATGGTGGTTCTAATTTGGGTATAAACCAACTGGATTGTGTGCTATTGGGGTGTAGAAGCAGGGAAGTTGCATTTTGTTGACTCTACTGGCAACCATAAAAAAGTATTGGAATTTCAGCTTGGTCCTTCTCATATTATATGAGCTGAAATGAGTCTAAAAATGAAAATATCCCACGGCAATCTAATATACATGTCTTTCTCATTTTATATAGTTCATTAAAGCCTCTATATTTCTTATATAATTATATTATTAAAGTATATTTCTAAAATTCAGTAAAATTAAAAAATACAGCCATTAGGTGGTAAAATAGTTTATAGGCATTATCCTGGATTAAATAAACAATAATGTGTTACAATATTCGATAAAATATATTTAAATAGTTATGAAACATGTCCTGAAAGAGGTAATAGTAAGGTGATTAACCATCATTTGAGAGACATTGGAGACAACAGAGTCACAAAAGAGAGGAAGAAAAAAGAGGGGAAAGTGCTAAAACACAAAAATGTAAATTAACATTGCAATACCAAGGACAGTGACAGCACATGAGTTTGGGTTGGAATGGCATATTCATTTATTCATTTACTAAACAAAAATGCAGAATGCCTGTTATATTTCAGGCACTTCAATAGTTAGGATTGTCACATATGATATGAAATGCCCAGTTAAATTTGAATTTTACATAAACAACAAATATGTTTTCAGAGGATATGTGACCCTTACAATATTTAGGACACGCTTATACTAAGAACTTACTTTTCTTGTTTATCTAAAAATCACATTTAAGGGGATGTTCTGTATTTTAAATTTGCTAAATCTGGTGACCCCAAATAGATGTGGAGAGAGAACAATAAAAAATACATAATATTTGATGTCAAACAACTTAGAAGCATAGAAATGTATGAAAACAGACAGATGTTTTAAATTGCCAAAATTTGTACACCTAAAATATTAATAGAGTGAAATAAAACTTTTTTTAGGGAAATTAAGTGGTTTGACTCACCACCTCAACATTATTTAATCCTTTCAAGTCAAATCTATTTCTGACCATCCATGCAAACGCTGGTTGCCTTCATCACCCGGTGGAGGTAGTATTTCTTTTATTTTTTTTTTCTTTTTACTTTAAGCTTTAGGGTACATGTGCACAACGTGCAGGTTTGTTACATAGGTATACATGTGCCATGCTGGTGTGCTGCACCCATTAACTCGTCATTTAACATTAGGTATATCTCCTAATGCCATCCCTCCCCCCTCCCCCCACCCCACAACAGTCCCTGGTGTGTGATGTTCCCCTTCCTGTGTCCATGTGTTCTCATTGTTTAATTCCCACCTATGAGTGAGAACATGCGGTGTTTGGTTTTTAGTCCTTGCGATAGTTTGCTGAGAATGATGGTTTCCAGCTTCATCCATGTTCCCACAAAGGACATGAACTCATCCTTTTTTATGGCTGTATAGTATTCCATGGTGTATATGTGCCACATTTTCTTAATCCAGTCTATCCTTGTTGGACATTTGGATTGGTTCCAAGCCTTTGCTATTGTGAATAGTGCTGCAATAAACACATGTGTGCATGAGTCTTTATAGCAGCATGTTTTATAATCCTTTGGGTATATACCCAGTAATGGGATAGCTGGGTCAAATGGTATTTCTACTTCTAGATCCCTGAGAAATCGCCACACTGACTTCCACAATGGTTGAACTAGTTTATAGTCCCACCAACAGTGTAAAAGTGTTCCTATTTCTCCACATCCTCTCCAGCACCTGTTGTTTCCTGACTTTTTAATGATCACCATTCTAACTGGTGTGAGATGGTATCTCATTGTGGTTTTGATTTGCATTTCTCTGATGGCCAGTGATGATGAGCATTTTTTCATGTGTCTTTTGGCTGCATAAATGTCTTCTTTTGAGAAGTGTCTGTTCATATCCTTTGCCCACTTGTTGATGGGGTTGTTTGCTTTTTTCTTATAAATTTGTTTGAGTTCATTGTAGATTCTGGATATTAGCCCTTTATCAGATGAGTGTATTGCAAAAATTTTCTCCTATTCTGTAGGTTGCCTGTTCACTCTGATGGTAGTTTCTTTTGCTGTGCAGAGGCTCTTTAGTTTAATTAGATCCCGTTTGTCAATTTTGGCTTTTGTTGCCATTGCTTTTGGTGTTTTAAGACATGAAGTCCTTGCCCATGCCTATGTCCTGAATGGTATTGCCTAGGTTTTCTTCTAGCGTTTTAATGGTTTTAGGTCTAACATGTAAGTCTTTAATCCATCTTGAATTAATTTTTGTATAAGGTTTAAGGAAGGGATCCAGTTTCAGCTTTCTACATATGGCTAGCCAGTTTACCCAGCACCATTTATTAAATAGGGAATCTTTTCCCCATTTCTTGTTTTTGTCAGGTTTCTCAAAGATCAGATAGTTGTAGACATGTGGCATTATTTCTGTGGGCTGTGTTCTGTTCCATTGGTCTATATCTCTGTTTTGGTACCAGTACCATGCTGTTTTGGTTACTGTAGCCTTGTAGTATAGTTTGAAGTCAGGTAGCGTGATGCCTCCAGCTTTGTTCTTTTGGCTTAGGATTGACTTGGCAATGTGGGCTCTTTTTTGGTTCCATATGAATTTTAAAGTTTTTTCCAATTCTGTGAGGAAAGTCATTGTTAGCTTGATGGGGATGGTATGGAATCTATAAATTACCTTGGGCAGTATGGCCATTTTCACGATATTGATTCTTCCTACCCATGAGCATGGAATGTTCTTCCATTTGTTTGTATCCTCTTTTATTTCATTGAGCAGTGGTTTGTAGTTCTCCTTGAAGAGGTCCTTCACATCCATTGTAAGTTGGATTCTTAGGTATTTTATTCTCTTTGAAGCAATTGTGAATGGGAGTTCACTCATGATTTGGCTCTCTGTTTTTCTTTTATTGGTGTATAAGAATGCTTGTGATTTTTGCACATTGATTTTTGTATGCTGAGACTTTCCTGAAGTTGCTTATCAGTTTAAGGAGATTTTGGGCTGAGACGATGGGGTTTTCTAGATATACAGTCATGTCATCTGCAAACAGGGACAATTTGACTTTCTCTTTTCCTAATTGAATACCCTTTATTTCATTCTCCTGCCTGATTGCCCTGGCCAGAACTTCCAACACTATTTTGAATAGGAGTGGTGAGAGAGGGCATTCCTATCTTGGGCCAGTTTTCAAAGGGAATGCTCCCAGTTTTTGCCCATTCAGTATGATATTGGCTGTGGGTTCCTCATAGGTAGCTCTTATTATTTTGAGATACGTCCCATTAATACCTAATTTATTGAGTTTTTAGCATGAAGGGCTGTTGAATTTTGTCAAAGGCCTTTTCTGCATCTATTGAGATGATCATGTGGTTTTTGTCATTGGTTCTGTTTATATGCTGGATTACGTTTATTGATTTGTATATGTTGAACCAGCCTTGCATCCCAGGGATGAAGCCCACTTGATCATGGTGGATAAGGTTTTTGATGTGCTGCTGGATTTGATTTGCCAGTATTTTATTGAGGATTTTTGCATCAATGTTCATCAAGGATATTGGTCTAAAATTCTCTTTTTTTGTTGTGTCTCTGCCAGGCTTTGGTATCAGGATGATGCTGGCCTCATAAAATGAGTTAGGGAGGATTCCCTCTTTTTCTATTGATTGGAATAGTTTCAGAAGGAATGGTACCGGCTCCTCCTTGTACCTCTGGTAGAATTCGGCTGTGAATCCATCTGGTCCTGGATTTTTTTTGGTTAGTAGGCTATTAATTATTGCCTCAATTTCAGAGCCTGTTATTGGTCTATTCAGAGATTCAACTTCTTCCTGGTTTAGTCTTGGGAGAGTGTATGTGTCAAGGAATTTATCCATTTCTTCTAGATTTTCTAGTTTATTTGCGTAGAGGTGTTTATAGTATTCTCTGATGGTAGTTTGTATTTCTGTCGGATCAGTGGTGATATCCCCTTTTTCATTTTTTATTGTGTCTATTTGATTCTTCTCTCTTTTCTTCTTTATTAGTATTGCTAGCGATCTATCAATTTTGTTGATCTTTTAAAAAAAAACCAGCTCCTGGATTCATTGATGTTTTGAAGGGTTTTTTTGTGACTCTATTTCCTTCAGTCCTGCTCTGATCTTAGTTATTTATTGGCTTCTGCTAGCTTTTGAATGTGTTTGCTCTTGCTTCTCTGGTTCTTTTAATTGTGATACTAGGGTGTCAATTTTAGATCTTTCCTGCTTTCTCTTGTGGGCATTTAGTGCTATAAATTTCCCTCTACACACTGCTTTGAATGTGTCCCAGAGATTATGGTATGTTGTGTGTTTTTTCTTGTTGGTTTCAAAGAACATCTTTATTTCTGCCTTCATTTCGTTATGTACCCAGTAGTCATTCAGGAGCAGGTTGTTCAGTTTCCATGTAGTTGAGCGGTTTTGAGTGAGTTTCTTAATCCTGAGTTCTAGTTTGATTGCACTGTGGTCTGAGAGACAGTTTGTTATAATTTCTGTTCTTTTACATTTGCTAAGGAGTGCTTTACTTCCAACTATGTGGTCAATTTTGGAATAGGTATGGTGTGGCGCTGAAAAGAATGTGTATTCTGTTGATTTGTGGTGGAGAGTTCTGTAGATGTCTATTGGGTCCGCTTGGTGCAGAGCTGAGTTCAATTCCTGGATATCCCTGTTAACTTTCTGTCTCGTTGATCTGTCTAATGTTGACAGTGGGGTGTTAAAGTCTCCCATTATTATTGTGTGGGAGTCTAAGTCTCTTTGTAGGTCTCTAAGGACCTACAAAAAAGTTAACTCATTTTCATGTTAAAATAAACATAGGCACTCAGTTTTGAATGCTGATTTCAACAGGCGTGAGCCCGTGCGCCCAGCGACTTTCAAGGTCTCAAAATGACTACTGCAGCTCCAGGCATTGCATACGCATTACTGGAAAAAAATAAAAAGAAACTCAAAGCATGTCTCTTTAAGGCATATTAATCATATTTGTGTATGTGCCTCTTATTACTTTTTAGATCAAGGTAAAACTCTTGTTACATAAAATTCACTATTTTTAAATGTACAGTTCAGTAACTTATAGTGCATTCACAATGTTGTGCGATCATCATCTCTATCTAGTTCTAAAACATTTTCACCATCACAAAAGAAAGCCCTGTACCAATTAAGCGGTTACTTCCCAACCCATGGAAAATACTAATCTGTTTTCTATCTCTATGCATTCATCTGTTCTGGATATTTCATACATATAGAATTACATACTTTGTCTTTTGTGTCTAACTTATTTCACTTAGCATAATGTCTTTAAGGTTGAGTCACATTGTGGTATGTATTAGTACTTCACTCCTTTTTCTTTTTTTTTTTTTTTTTTTTTTGACGGAGTCTCACTCTGTGGCCCAGGCTGGATGGAGTGCAGTGGCATGATCTCGGCTCACTGCAAGCTCCGCCTCCCGGGTTCACGCCATTCTCCTGCCTCAGCCTCCGAGTAGCTGGGACTACGGGCGCCCGCCACCACTCCCAGCTAATTTTTTGTATTTTTAGTAGAGAGGGCGTTTCACCGTGTTAACCAGGATGGTCTCAATCTCCTGACCTCGTGATCCGCCCGCCTCGGCCTCCTAAAGTGCCGCGATTACAGGCGTGAGCTACCGCGTCTGGCCTACTTCACTCCTTTTTTATGACTACCTAAAATTCAATTGTATGGCTATAACCCATTTTTTTTCCATTCATCTGCTGATGGACATTTAATGTGTTTCTACCTTTGGGCTATTGAGAATAGTGCTGTTATAATCACTCATACAAGTATTTGTTTAAATACCTGTTTTCAATTTTGGGGGGCTATATACACAGGAATAGAATTTCTGGCTCATAGATAATTCTATGTTTAACTTTTTGAGCCAGTAACAAACTATTTTCCAAAGAGACTACGACATTTTACATGCCAATCAGCAATAATGATGGGTATTATTTTTTCACATCTTTGCCGGTTACTGCTATTTTTCATTAAATAATTTATAGCCATGAATGTGAAGTGGTATCTCATTGTGGTTTTGATTTCCATTATTCTACTAAATAATGATGTTGAGCATCTTTTTATATGTTTGTTAGTCATTTGCATAATTTCTTTGGAGAAATGTTTATTCAAGTCTTTCACCCATTTTTAAATTGAATTGTCTGCTCTTTTGTTTTTAAGTTGTAAGAGTTCTTTTGTTGTTGAGTTGTAAGAGTTCTTTATGTATTCTGGATATTAGACACTTATCAGGTATATAATTTTCAAATATTTCTTCCATTTCAAAGGTTGACTTCTTACATCCTCGATATTATCTTTGATACACAAATTTTTTTAATTTTTATGAAGTCCAATTTAATTTCTATGAAATTGTATAGTTTTAGCAGTTACAATTAGTTGTTTGATGTATTTTGAGTTGATTTGTCTGTTTACTGTAGGACAGGCAGCATCCACCTTCAATATTTTACATGTGGATATACAGTTGATCAAACAGCATTTGTTGAAGAGATTCTCCTTTCCCCATTGGCTGGTCTTCGCATCCATGATAAAAATCAATTGAACATAGGGCATGGGATTATGTATGGCCTCTCAATTCTATTCCATTATTCTATATGTCTATTATTACACCAACACCCTACTGTTTATATTACAGTAGCTTTGCAGTAAGCTTTGAAATTGGAAAGTGTTAGTCCTCCAATTTTGATTTTTCTTCAACATTGCAGTGTGTATTCTGGATCTCTTACAGATCAGCTTTTTTAAATCTGCAACAACAACAACAAAATAACATTTCAAGGTTTTTATTGAGACTGCATTTTGTCTTCTGATCACTTTGGGTAGTATTTTCATTTTGTCAATATTAAGTCTCCCAATACATGAACACAGCATGTTTTTCTATGAGACATTATTTTTATTAACTCTTTGTCAGCCATTAACATCTACATATCACAGGCCACAGCCATATCATATCCCTGTAACTAACAGGAAACCTTGGAAATTAAGTTCAGCTCTTGCTGCCCTGAAAGTGTCAGGGTTAAGTTATAAAGAAGGAATATAAAATTAATATTGAGGAATTGAGTAATTAGCAGTGTCTGCTACACCTCATTATGACCAAACTGATGTAGAACTCACAGTTTCCAGTTTCATAATCATGTTTTTGAATGCATTAAAATTAGACTTTTTAAAAATGAAATTATCTAAAATTGTAGAAAGCTAAGAACCACTCTGTGAAGAGCTGTGGCTGTTACTGGAGCCCCTACACATTGTTCTCATGTCATGAAAGCTGGCTTCTCAGAGTCAACAATTTCAAGAGACAAGAAGTAGGTTTAGCCCTGGAAATTGATATAGCATCAATTCTGACACATTCTACTGGGCAAAGGACTCATAAAGCCTGTACATATTGCAGATCGAGAGAAAGAGGGCCCACTGCTAGATAAGAGGAATATGAAAAAATTTGTAGCTGTATGCAGACCAATAAAATCTGCACCTGAGCCACAAATTATTTACATTCCTGACACATACAGAATGCCCCATTTCCAAGACTCTAAAATGTTTAACCCATTAGTCGAACAGGATTAGGCTTAAGTTCCAAGATCTCATCATATAAATCAGGTTCAGGAATGAATTATATTTCTCAGGGGCAGTTATTCTTAGCTCTAAAGATCTGTGAACTAAAGAGACAAGTTATCTGCCTGGAATTATTCTGAGGAATTTATGTAGGATAAAAGAGTCTAGTCACAGATGTAATCTTACTTAAAGTTATTTCATACTTTAAGAATCTTTTACGGAAAGAGCCTAGAAATGAGAAAGTTTCATTTTCAAATTTAGAATTTTCTGCTTTTTAATATTTCTCCTAAATGCTACTCAAAATTGCAACGGTTCTTTTTAAAATTTATCTATCTTTCCCTGGGTTATATCATAGGCAGCTAGTAAAAGTCAGATGCCACTTTCTATGTTGTTCCTAAAAAATCTCTCCTGCTAAATTGGCTGCTTAATTAGACAGTCTTTATATTTTCCATATTCCCACAGGTGACATTGTTGCCAAATTTGCCCCTACTACATGAAAGTTATACCTTTCCTCTAGCATTCAACATCTTCTTACTGTCTTTCAAGTCATTAAGCATTCTTGAGGATCTCCTAGCTTTCACACACAATCTTGCCAAAACCCTTCCAGCCTCTGCTCACTGCCTAGCTTGAAAGCCAATGTCATACATCTTAAGTTACTGGTGTGTAGTACTTCACTTTTATGTACCAAATTTCTGTTTCGGTTTTATATTACTAAGTAATAAACTACCTTATCATTTAGTGGCTTAAACCAACGAAATTATTTTGTGGGTCATAAATTTGGGGAAACTTTGACTAGAGTATTTTCCTCTAAACTCCATAGTGTTAAGTGGGCTGGCTAGGGCTGGAGGATCTACTTTCTGGATCACTTTCTTACTCACATGTCTAGCACTAGGATTGGGATGCTAGTAGCCAGTTAGCAGTTGATGCTGGGAGCTGTTAACAACAGTGCCTACATGTGGTTTCTCCATATGCCTTGGGTTTCTCCAAGTACTGTGGCTGAGTCCCAAAGGGAATACAATTATAAGCAAATATTTTCAGAGTAGATGTAGAAGCACCCAGTGCCTTAGGGCCTCAGCCCAGAAATAGGTACAAATTGATTCTACCATATTCTATTCTTAGAAAGTCACAGATCCTGCCCAGATTCACGGGAACGGGAAATAATATACCCCTCCTAAAAATAGAAGGTGTGTCAAAGAATTTATAGCCATCTTTTATGTTGAATATATCACTGGCAAAATTTATTGAAGTTGAATATGTGTATATCTTTTAACGCAACATTCTTTTACTTCCAGTATATTTCAGTAAACATATATGCAACATACATGTGTACATGATCCCCAAAGACAAGTGTTCTCACAATAGTACTATTTTTAACTTTTCAAAAACAAAAACACTTAGATGAATATTAACAATAAAATTGATACATTTCTGTATCATAACACAGAGCTACAAAATACAGAACTGAACACTGAATAATCTACAACTATACAGATACATATGGAAAAAAATTACAGGCATTACGTGGGATGTAACGTTAGGACAAAATATTACATACTCTCATTTCATTTATATAAAGTTAAAAAAGGCAAACTGAATCTATTGGGTCAAATGTTGATATGAGTCATGGATTAATCTTCTATGGTGTTGGGAATGTTCAGTGTCCTGGTCTTTTTTTCTGTTTTGTTTGTGATAACATGTACATTTTTCTTTTTGTGTATTCTACCACAATAATCATTTCCCCAAAAAAAGACAAAAATATTATTTCATATTTGTTTCCTATGATTCTATGACAAATTATCACAAATTTAACAGACTAAAACAGCCCAAATTTATTATCTTACAGTTCTGAAGGTCAGAAGTACAAAATTGGTCTTACTGAGCTCATATCATTGTGGCCAGGGCTGCATTCCTTCTAGAGACTCTAAGGAAAAATTAGCTTCTTTGCTTTATTCACCTTCTAGAGTCCATCAGCATTCCTTGGTTCATGGCCTTCTTCCAACTTCAAATACAGCATTATAACATTTTAAAATTTCTCTTCGATTGTGAGTCTACTGCATTGTGATAAAATTGAGTCCACAAAAATAGGGTAGTCTACCTATCTCAAGTCTCTTAACTTAATCACATTTGCAAAGTCCCTTCTGCTATGTAAGGAAACATATTCACAGGTTCTAGGGATTAGAACATAGACATCTTAACCTCAACATAATAAAAGCCATATATGACACATCCATGGTTAGTATCATACTGAATGGGGAAAACTGAATGACAAGAATGCCCACTGTCATTACTGTTATTCAACATAGTACTAGTAGTCCTAGCTAGAGCATCAAATAAGAGAAAGATATAAAATGTAACCATGTTGAAAAGGAAGAAGTCAAATGATCCCTGTTTTCAGATAATATGATCTTATATTTGAAAAAAAATCTAATGACTGCACAAGAAAACTATAAAAATTCAGTAAAGTGGCAGGATACAAAATAAACATACCCAAATCAGGACATTTCTATATGTCAACAGTGAACAGTACAAAAAAGAAATTTTAAAAGCAATCCTATTTACAACAGCCACACAGAAAATTAAATAAACAAAGAAGTGAAAGATCTCTATAATAAATCAAATAATTAAAAAATATTTATAATACATTACAACAAAGAAGTGAAAGATGTCTATAATAGAAACCATAAAACACTTTTGAAGAGAACACCAAAAAACTAGAAAAAAATTCAATGTTCATGGATTAGAAGAATCAATATTATTAAAATGCCCATACTGCCCAAAGCAATCTACAGATTCAGTGTAATCCCTATCAAAATACCAATGACATTCTTTACAGAAATAGAGAAAACTATGCTAACATTTATGTGGAACCACAAAGCACCAAGAATAGCTAAAGCTATCCCAAGCAAAAAGAACAAAACTGGAGAAATTACATTACATTACCTGACTTCAAATTATACTACAAAGCTTTAGTAACCAAAACAACATGGCACTGGCAAAAAATAGACACATAGACCAAAGTAACAGAATAGAGAAACCAGAAACAAATCCATACACCTACAGTATACTCATTTTCAACAAATGTACCACTAGGGAAATGATAGTCTCTTCAATAAATGGCTCTCGGAAAACCGGACATCCATATGCAGAAGAATGTGCCCCTGTCTCTTGCCATATACATAAATCAAAATGAATTAAAGACTTAAATCTAAGACCTCAAGCTATAAAACTTCTACAAAAATTTTAAAGAAAGTGTCCAGGACATTAGTCTGGGCAAAAGTTTCTTCAGCAATACCACACAAGCACAGGAAACCAAAGCAAAAACGGACAAATGGGATCATATCAAGTTAAAAAGCTTCTGAATAGCAAAGAATACAATCAACAAAGTGGAGAGACACCCCACAGGATGAGAGAAAATATTTTCAAACTACCCATCTGACAAGGGATTAATAACTAGAATATATAAGGAGCTCAAACAACTGTATAGGAAAAAATCTAATAATCCAATCAAAAGATGGGTAAAAGATTTTTCAAAAGAAGACATACAAATGGCAAACAGGCATTTAAAAAGGGGTTCAACATCACTGACCATTACAGAAGTGCAAATCAAAACTACATTGAGGTATCATCTCACCCCTGTTAACGTGACTTATATCCAAAAAACAGGAGATAACAAATGCTGGTGAGAATATAGAGAAAAGGAAACCCACATACACTGTTGGTGTGAATGCAAATTAGTACAACTATGGAGAACAATTTGGAGGTTTCTTCAAAAACTAAAACTGGAGATACCATATGATCTAGCAATCCAAGTGCTGGATATATACCCACAAGAAAAAAAAATCAGTGTATCAAACTGATATCTGCACCCCTATGTTTGCTGCAGCACTGTTTCCAATTGCTAAGATTTGGAAACAACTAAGTGTCCACCAACAGATGAATGGATAAAGAAAATGTGGTACATATACTCAATAGAGTACTATTTAGCCATAAAAAAGAATGAGATCCAGTCATTTGCAACAACATGGATAGAACTGGAGATGATTATGTTAAGCGAAGTAACTCAGGCACAGAAAGACAAACATTACATTTTCTCATTTATTTTTGGAATCCAAAAATTAAAACATTTGAACTCATGGATATAGTAGAAGGATGGTTATCAGAGGCTGAGAGGGGTAGTGGGGAAAAAGCAGTGAGGTGGGGATGGCTAATAAGTACAAAAAATAGTTAGAAAAAATGAATAATATCTATTATTTGATAGCACAATAGGGGGATTATAGTCAATAATTACTTAACTATACATTTTAAAATAATGTAGCTCAGTGGATAAATGCATGAGAGATGTATATCCTATTCTTCATGATGGGCTTATTTCACATTGCATGCCTGTATCAAAAAACCTCATGTACCCCATAAATATATTCACCCACTATGTACCCACAAAAATTGAAAATAAAATAAATTTATAAAAATAATGGATTTTGTCTTCAGAGAATCCTGTCAGAGTATCCATAATGTTATAAAAGAATTTCAAGAAAGATGTTTCCTAAGTTTCCTATGTTCCAATATCACCTCTGAATTTCTGCCCTAACCCGGAACACAATTCCAGTATTTTCCAATTCAAAAAAACTTTGCAGGATTGTGATATCATTATAAACAGCTTATGATCTCAGTGGCTTAACCACAACAATGTTCTTTTTGCTCACAATGTATGTCAGCAGCAGTTCTCTGGAACTGCTCCAGCCATTGAAGTCAACTATGATTTTGTTTCATTCTGCTTGGCTCTACCCCATGAATTTTCTTTATTCAAATATTCAGACTAAAGCAGAAACCACTTTAAAACATGCTGTTCTTTTTAGAAGAGTACTATCCAAAACATAAAATGACTCGAAGTTTCCACTTAGAATATGCATACATCACTTCTGCTCAAATCCCATTGGGTAAGTAAGCCATATGGACCAACCATAGCTCAAAGAGGTAAAGGAATAAAGCTCTCCTGCAGGAGAACTCTGGCTTCTATGTACAACAAACTCTGGCCTCAGGGAAGGCCTATTCTGCATTTCCTTTTATTTTGAATTTTAAAAATTCCCCTTATTTCTTCTTGTAATCAATTATAATGTTATAATTTATAATAATATGATAATTCCCTCCACATAAATGAGTCTTTGTTTCTTACAAAGAAATGTAACCAAATTAAATAATTATACTTGAGTTTATCAGATATATACTTCATTATCTATACCTATAACCACTAAGTAGTGTTTGATACCTACTAAATGTTCAATAATAGCTACACAACTTACACTAATTGCCAGAGAGAAATCATTCATTTTCATTTAATCAAATTAAAATGAGAGGAATCTTATTATTATATCAGTTCAAAATAAACAGGAATTGAAGTTTTAGAAGTTTAATTGGGTCCAAGATTATACAGCTAGAGAATTACAGAGACAGGATTTGAACGCAGGCAATCTGACTCAAAAACCATGCATGGAACTGAAATTTATGAATTTAATTGAAATAAGGAATATTATGTTTAATTAGGATGTAGTAATCTTCAATGATACATATTACTTCAATTTCTAGGTTGTATATTTAATCAACAAAACGTATTTAAGTTATGTAAAATTAAATCTTCAAGGAATTTTTAGATAATAGTTACATATACCAAATTATAAATTGCATATTCTCTTGCAGCTGCTTTTAATGTGACAGTTTTTAGAACTACAGGAATGTAGGTCGT
Organism: Homo sapiens; assembly: GCF_000001405.40. Taxonomy (NCBI): domain Eukaryota; kingdom Metazoa; phylum Chordata; class Mammalia; order Primates; family Hominidae; genus Homo; species Homo sapiens. The sequence goes on from NW_003315915.1 coordinate 116,480, forward strand.
TTTTTTGCAAATATGACCACAATAAATTCTTCTATACCAGCATTCATACTGCTTTCTAATTAACTCTATTTTCCCATCAAGAAGTATTTCTACTCCTGAATTCAGGTTTGAGAAAGAAAATTAATCAATAGGAATGTTATACCAACATTTCTAAAAGCAGTGTTATTAATTCAGCATATAAGCAAAAGATTTTAATTAAATGAAAGAAACTCAGGCTTGCGCATTGCTATTTTTGTGGTTTAGAACCATTGTGGATAGATACTACACAGCAAAATGAGCATATTTTCAAAGAAAGACAGTAGGCATTAAATTAAAATATATCAATGTATACTATTCTAAACTATGAATAAATGTCTCAAAAATTTGAATCTATCCACAGTGCTAATGTTTATATCTTCTTTTATATGCAGAAATATCTTTTTATAGTTTAAGTTCCGTTATAAATTACAGTGTTGTCTTTGTTTAAGTTTTTCCTCAGCTTAATAACAATAATAATAATAATAATAGAATCAGGGTGAAGAACTACTTTTCGCAATCAAGTGATGTCTTCGTTTGAAAAGTACAAACAATATTCTGCTTTTCAATAAATATGTTAAAATGGCATTGTTATCAGAGTCATTTATTTGATGATCAAAAAAACAAAAAAAATTCAAAACATAAACATCAAATATATCCTAAGGGAATTCATTAAATTTCATATAATTGATATTGTTAATATAATACCTCTTTACTAAAGCTTATAAAATTTATTTCAATTATGTGTTTGAAGGATAAATAGTGCTGTTATAAATATTTGGTCTATGTATTTCAAATAAACATGTCAAATAAATGATGATTTCTCAAATATTAAAGTATACATAAATGTATCTCTCATTTAACAAGTCTACTTATAGGATCTATTCCAAATGTACACTGACAAAAGCATGAAAAGATGTATACACGAGGGTATTTGTTGTAGACCTACTTGTCATAGCAGAAAGCTGGTAAAAACTCAATATTCAAAAATAGGGAACTAGTTCAATGACCAGAGAAAATGCATACAATAAAGTACTGAAAAAAGAAATCAGTACTGAGAAATTTTTCTTTATTTTGTTAAGAAAATATAACCAGTTTATTTTTAAGTTAAACATAATAATAGTTTGAAATACATTTATTTACTTACGCTCCTTTGAGGCTCAGAACAATTAACAAGTGCCAGCCAAAGAAGCTCACATATATACAAATATCTGCTTTCTTGTTCAAAATAATCATAGAAGGATAACCATAATATTTTTTAAATATTTCCTATAGGGTAAGGAAGGGAATCGATTGGAGGGGATATGATTAGAACCTAGCCTTCTATGAATGCACATTATATTGTAAATATAATTTTGGAAACACATAAACACTTTATATGATTATAAAATTAAATTCAAAAGAAGCAAGTCCTAATCATTTAAACTGAAACAAATGAAACTATGTATACAGTTATATAGTGGAAGTATTCCAAGTGACAATAAGGCACAATAATTTGATTGTGCATCCTAGCGAAATATACCCTTGGGATAAAAACATATTCAAAACAATATTTACATTAATATAATTGCTCTTTTTTGATGAATTCGATTATTTATGGTGTCATCATTTTGAGAAGGTTAAGCATGTAGTACAAATAAGTAAGTAGGTTTGTGTAATAAGAAATTAAATTTTTTGATGTGCTGCTGGACTCAGTTTGTCAGTATTTTATTGAGGATTTTTGCATCAATGTTCATCAGGGATATTGGCCTGAAATTTTCTTTTTTTGTTGTGTTTCTGCCAGGTTTTGGTATCAGGATAATGCTGGCCTCATAAAATGAGTTAGGAAGGAGTCCCCCTTTTTCTGTTGTTTGGAATAATTTCAGAAGGAATGGTACCAGCTCTTCTTTGTACTTCTGGTAGAATTCAGCTGTGAATCCGTCTGGTCCTGGGCTTTTTTTGGTTGGTAGGCTGTTAATTACTGCCTCAATTTCAGAGCCTGTTATTGGTCTATTCAGGGATTCTACTTCTTCCTGGTTTAGTCTTGGGAGGGTGTGTGTGTCCAGGAATTTATCCATTCCTACAAACCTGCATGTTTTGTACATGTATCCCAGAACTTAAAGTAAAATTTAAAGAAATTTAAATTTAAAAACAAGTGAAAAAAGGAAAAAAGAAATTAAATTCTTTTTGTGTGGAAATATAGAAATAGAAATATAAGAATGATGAGATAAATTAGGAGTCACATAATTCTGAAGGCCAATTGGAAATAGAAGTTTAAACTTTGTTTTGTCTGTCTGAACCCATGGCTGGAGTTATCCCAGAAGTGTTGGCATGGAATTCTCACAGGAGTCTGCCCCAAACTGTCACAAAATGGGATTGGAATTGTTGGAATTCCAAAGAAAGAAGCACTGAGTACCAGGGAGATCAGTCCAAAGGATTCTTAAGGGAAACTTACACAGGGAGTGCTACAGTGACCCTTGCGATGGGCAGACAGAAAACAGATGTACCTACGTATGTCCCCTATAAAGTTTATATAAAAGTTTGAGGAATTTAGGTTAGGGCCAGAGATAGTTTTTACTGTTTACCAACATATTTGATCTTTGGGTATTTTAGGCAACAGCCCAAAGAAGTTCATCAGTACATGGAAACGTTCAAGGCCCCTGCATAGGTTCAAGCCTGAAGGTAAAAACATGCAGCTAGTTGCTTCACAGAGAGGTCAAGGCACTCCCACAAACACATATGATTTTTTTTTTTTTTTTGGTAAATACATATTTTGAAGCTCTATTAGTTAAAACCAGCTGGAAACAAGGACCACATATGTAACTATGAACACCCTGCTTTTACAGATTTTCCCAAAAAAGCATTTCCTCTGAAAGGGACAAGGTTTCTAAGAGAAAGGGCTGCTTCATGTCTGAGACAGAAAATGTGTAAGATGATCCTTGAGCATTAAGGGCACCAACAAAGACTGCCAGGATCACATCAAAAGAACTCAAATGCCAAATTGAACACTCTCAAAGACACATCTAGAATAAAGTTTGACCAAATGTCTGGGCACCCTGGGGCCCACTTATGTTTACACAAAAAATTAGCCACCACATTGCCCATCAATACAAATGTGAAACTCTGAAGATCCCAATGAAACAAAGAGAAAAATGGAGACAATTGTGCACAAATTTAGATTTTAAGTTTCTCTATATATTTCACAGCTGGTAGGCAACTGAATAAGAAGAGGGAATTATTTTCCCTTAATTTTCTAGATTTCAGAACTGAGTCTTGACAGTAATTTGTAGTTTAGGGGCATGTGTATTTAGTTATAATCTAAATAATGCTTCAAAATGTATTAAGTTATTATGTACAAATTAGCTTATTTGATTCCTCAGAACAGTGTTATAAAGGGAGGAGCCTATTTTTTTTCCAATATCTTTTAAATTAGGAAACAGGCTCAAAGATCTTAGTCTAGGGATATATTTTACAGCATATCAAAAGTTAAAATGGGTATCAAATGTAGACCCTAGTTCACCATTTTATTCACAAATTAAAATTAAGATAATGAAATATCGCTTCACACCTATCAACTCAGCAAAATCTTCAAGAGGATATGAGGCAGAAAATGTTATCATCTATTACTGATAGGAACATATAAATGTCACTGCATGTTAGAAAGGTAAAGTTTTGCAGTACTTTTGGAAACCACAACAATGCCTTTTAATTAAAAAAAAATACGTAAGGCCGGGCACGGTGGCTCACGCCTGTAATCCCAGCACTTCGGGACGCCAAGGCAGGTAGATCACTTAGTCAGGAAATCGAGACCATCCTGGCTAACATGGTGAAACCCGTCTCTACTAAAAATACAAAACAAAATTAGCCAGCCCGGTGGCGGGCGCCCGTAGTCCCAGGTACTGGGGAGGCTGAGGCAGGAGAATGGCATGAACCCAGGAGGCGGAGCTTGCAGTGAGCCGAGATTGCGCCACTGCACTCCAGCCTGGGCGACAGAGCGAGACTCCGTCTCAACAACGACAACAACAAAAAATACATAAATACTTAAATCCAGCCATGCTACACCTAGAAATTTATTTAGTGAAAGCTAAACATCAACATATAAGATTTGATGTTCATACAAAATACAAAAAGATATTGATTACAATATTGTCCATAATGGTTAAAACTGTACAGTAAGAGAAATCAGATCAACATTGGAATGGATATGTATGGTATATTCCCAAATAACAGATCATAAACCTTTTAAAGGGTTAATTATTTAAAGAATGAAATAATGTCATATATACTGGTGAATTTGAACTATGGAATAGATACATCTTTTAAAAGAATATAAAAATGATATTGAATTAGATTTTCAGAAACTACTATTGAATAAGACAGTTACAGAAAAGTGAGTATAATAGGATTCCATTTTCTGTAAAAAACAATTTAAAACAGTTTAGTTTCCCCGCCCCCAACATATAATGGATTAGAGGCTTTTAGCATGCTTCAGCCACTTGGAAATAACAAAACAGTGCATAAAAATCAATTCTGTGAGCTTTAATTCAACAAGGAAAATGAGAATCCACCAGAATCACGAAGGACACCCCAGATCCTGGGGAGAACACCGGCAAAGAGTACCCATGATGGCATCTGACTGTTAAAAGTGAGTGAAGCCCTCGGAAGTGAGAGAGGAAGACAGCCTCCCTCTCTGCTGAACCTTTCCAGTAGTAATCCGAGCAACCCTGGACGAACGAGAGGATTGTGTTTCTCCCAAGACCTGGAACTAATGGGGAGAGGCTTGGACATGCTGTGAGGAAAAGATACTGGGAAAAGCTGCAGACATCTACCGTAGACACAGGACGAAAAGCAGGACGCCATTTTTAATCCAGGTGCGTACAAAATCTGCCATTCTTTGGCAACTCTACAGCGTGACTGCATAGGCATTTTAGTGTCGGGCCAGAGATTAGAGCACCCACCCTGGAGTGGGGCAAGGACCTTCACAGCCAGAATTGTGCAGTGCCTCAGCAGCAGGTGCTGGAATTGGGTTCTCCCCGCGCACAGTATGGAGCCGGAGGATAGCTGCTACAGTTGCAATTTCTCCGGGGCAGCAAGACTTGCAGCCAAGTCCAGCTTGGCAACCTAAAACTGGTCTGTGTGTGCCATTGCTGGGAGCCCCAGCCTGCTTCCCTAAAATTGCGGTCCAGTGGTGCCCTCTCTGCTTCATATCCAGGCAGATCTCCAGGCATTTGGAATACCCATTAAGTTGGATTGGCAGCCTAATGCTCCCCACTTTTCATGTGCAGAGACCCTGGGGCAGAGAGGCTGTCTCTGCTTCATGTCCATGCAAATCTCCAGGCATTCAGAGCACCCACTCATCTGTTACAGCAGCTTAAGCCATCCCACCCTTCCTGGGCTTAGAGGAGGATGGTGCATTGGGGCTGTCTCCGTTCTGCGTTCAGGCAGATGTCTGGGCATGTGGAGCACCTGCTTGCTTGGTTCAGCAGCCTCAGTTAACCCACCCTTTCTGTGCAGAGATATTGGTGCAGGGGCCCTTCTCTACTCCATTCCCAGGCAAATCTCCAGGCATCTGGAGCACCCATTCTCCTGGTTTAGTAGCTCAGGTCATCCCCCCTAAGGGTACAGAACTTGAGGCTGAGAGTATTTCCCAGGTCCATTCCTAGGCACACCTCAGGGCACTTGGTGGCCACCCACTGGATTCTTCCTTGATGCTGGTCTTTGTGCCTGTCATGGGGGGACCTATAGGCGGACCTGCCTGGTCCAGCTTCAGTCATCATGGCCCTCATCCCCCAAAGGCAGAGCAGGGAGCTCAGATCACTATTCATGCCACTAAACAGTCCATTGCCTGCGGCAACAGAGCTTCTCCCGGTAAATAAGGATCAGGTATATATCTAGCTGCATTGGCCACAGCCAACTTTCATCCAGAAGTGCCCCCTTTTTGCTTGTAGGTCACACTGCACAGCCCAATATAAAACCTGCTGAAATAAGTGCATAGGGCTATAGAAGCAAAGCCAAAAGACCATACTCAGCATTCTTTGCAGTCACAGTCACACCCAATAGTGATGGGGTAAGAGGGAAAAGGAAAGAAAAAAATCCCAATAGTATTACAGAGAAAGAAAAATATTTTATCCACACAAAAGTAATTACAATAATTAGAAGTGCTGACATCTCTAGATGAGAAGAAACCGGTATAAGAATTCTGACACTGTGAAAAATCTGAATGTAGAGACACCACTAAAGAATTGCATTAGCTGTCGAACAATAGAGTCTAACCAAAATGAAAACTGAGAAATGACAGATAAAGAATTCAAAGCACAGATTACAAGGAAGCTCAATTATATCCAAGACAAGGTTGAAAATCAACACAAAGAAACTTCTAAAGCAGTTCCTGGAATGAAGGAAGAGATAAATGTATTAAAAAGAAATCAATTGGAGCTAATGGGATTAAAAACTCACTTAAGGAATTTCAAAGTACAATTGAAACTTTTATCAATAGACTAGATCAAGCAGAAGAAAGGATTTCAGAGCCTGAAAACTGAAAGTCTTTTGAACTAACCCAGTCAAATATAAAGAAAAAAGAATTTAAAAAATAAAATGAATGTTTGAGAAGTATGGTTTTATGTAGTGATCAAATCTATGAATTATTGGTGTTTCTGAGAGAGAAGGAGAAAAAGTAAACAACCTGGAAAATATGCTTGAGGGAATGATTCAATAAAATGTTTCTAATTTTCCTAGAAATCCAGAGAACACCTGCGAGATACTACACAAAATGAACCCCACAAAGGCTTGTAGTCATCAGACTGTCTATGATCGATGCTAAAGAAAAAAATCTTAAAAATACCTAGAAAAAATGGACAGATCATGTACAGATAGATTCCTATCAGGCTAACAGCAGAGTTCTCAACAGAGTCTTATAAGCCAGGAGAGATTAGGGGCCTATTTTCAGCATACTTAAACAAAAGAACCAACCAAATTCCAACCGAGAATTTTATATTCTGCCAAACTAAGCTTCATAAGCAAAGGAGAAATAAAATCTTTTCCAGAAAAGCAAGCACTAAAGGAATTTGTTACCACTAGACTAGCCTTACAAGAGATCCTTAAGGGAGTCCTAAGCAAGGAAGTGAACAAATTTTGCTACCACAAAAATTATGTGAGTATATAGCCCACAGACCCTATAAAGAAATCACGCAATGAAAACTACAGAACAACCAGCTAAAATTGTTTTGATAGGATCAAAACCTCACATATCAATATTAACCTCAAATGTAAATAGCTGAAATGCCCTCACTTAAGAGGCACAGAGTGGCAAGCTGGATTAAAACAAGAACCATCTATCTGCTGTCTTCAATAGACTTATCTCACAGGTAATGACACCAATAGGCTAAAAGTACAGAGTTGGAGAAAGTCCTATCATGCAAACAGAAAACAAAAAAGAACATCAGTTTTTACTTTCATATCAGATAAAACAGACCTTAAACCAACAATAGTGAAAAAGAACAAAGAAGGGCATTATATAATGATAAAGGTTTCAATTCAACAAGAAGATTTAACTACCTTAAATATATACACATCCAACATTGGAGCACCCAGATTCATGAAACAAGTACGTCTACACCTACAAAGAGACTTAGCCACACAATAATAGTGGGGGACTTCAACACTCCCCTAATAGCATTAGAAAGTTAGACAGATTATCAAGGCAGAAAACTAACAAATTATGGACTTAAACTTGATACTTGACCAATTTGACCTAATACCTACAGAATACTCCACCCATCAACCACTGAATATACATCTTTTCTTCCACATATGGAACATACTCCAAGATTGACCATACACTCAGCCATAAAGCAAGTCTCAGTAAATGAGAAAAAAAATTAAAATCACACCAACCATCCTCTTGGACCATAGTGGACTAAAAATAGAAATCAAAATCAAGAAGGTCTGTAAACGAAATAATTACATGGAAATTAAACAACTTGTTCCTGAATGACTTTTGGGTAAACAATGAAATTAAGGTAGAAATAAAAAAAACTTCTTTGAAGTAAATGGAAACAGAGAGACTCAACAGACCAAAATCTCTACCATGCAGCTAAAGCAACCTTAAAAGGAAAGTTTGTAGCACTAGATACCTACATCAGAAAGTTAGAAAGATTTCAAATTAATGATCTAACATCACTCCTACAGGAAACAGAAAATCGAGAACAAACTAAACCCCAAATCTAGAAGCAGAAAAGAAATAACTATGATCAGAGTGAAACTGGGCCCTCATGGAAATAAAGAAGGCAGCAATAGAAATTGAGAACTACTTGAGTGGAGAAGTATGGAGAGAGGCAAGGATCAAAAAATTAACTATTGGGTATTATGTTCAGTACCTCAGTGATGGGATCCTTCATATCCCAGGTCACAGCATTATGAAACATACCCAGGAAACAAACCTGCACATGTGCTCTCTGAATCTAAAATAAAAGTTTGGAAAAAAAATAAAGCAAAGAAATACTAACAAATGAATCTCCTTATTCATGTGTATGTATGTATGGGTGCATATAGACCCGTGCATTCATATATACATTTGTGTATTGTATGAATACCAGGAAAAGATGAAAAGATTCATCAGTAGGTAATGAATAATACTGGAAACAGGTGGAGCTGATTGGTGGTGATAAGGAAGAAGACAGGAGAGCAGAACAAATTTAAAAAAGAAAAGATGGATGGAAATTAAAATATTGTATGTGTTTACACTTATATGTAAAATTAAAAATATGTCCATATATTGGAATTAAAGTTCAAATAATATAATGTAAGTTATAAATAAATATTGCCTTTAATGTCATTTTTCCGATTCCAAAAATAATCAACACTAATATAAAAAAGAAATAAATGTTTTTCTTTAAAAACATGTACTTTAAAATAAGATAGTCTTATCAACAGATTAAACTATTCTAGTTAATCTTTCATTATTTCTCTTTTTGGGATCTCACAAAATAACATTTCCTTTTTGGTAAAAGAAAGTTTATTAATATTAATAACCTATCAGTTATGTAAAATTATACACTTTGCTTCTTTGAAAATTCTACTTCATAGTTTTCTATTTTTTAATGGTTTTCAGATTAATTTGAAGCAAGATTGAGGAAGGTTATTTTATGCACAACTCCACAGCTTTAATTGCAACATTTATCATATGAGAACTCTAGCTGCCAAGAATGTGTTGGCACTAGGCAAATGTATAGCTTGTCCACAGGGATTTTATTATCCAACATCAAGGAATGTCTGCAACACAGTGGTCATTGTCACTGAGAGCTTCCTCTAGGCAGTAGAATAACAAGCTTGAGAAGAGAATACATAGAAATTTAATTTAATTAAAATATTCTTTTAGTATGGTACGTGTTTTGTACAATCCTTTTATAATGGATTACCATACATAAATATTAATACACTAAGTCACCACAGTCTTCAAATCATTGTTATTATAGAATGCAAAAATCCTTAAGAATATCAACATTATTATGAGTAATAATATTACTCATATCATTAGTATTAAAAACAATTATCTAAGACTTTACTGCTCATTCTAAATTTTAAGGACATAAATGGATCATGCTACACCTATGATTACTCCTAAAATGTTTTTCCTGCATTATAAACTAATGAACAAATTTTAAAAATTAATATATAACTTATTTCAATCAAGTTTCTAAAAGAAGAGTAAAAGTCTTCCATAAAATTTGTCTATAATACAGAATAAAAAAGAGATTTTCATAGCTGTATTATAATAATTGTGAGATGTGTTGTTCACTACCAGTAATAATGCAAAGTTTGGGTTTTTTTTTTAAAGTTCCAGATCACAGAAATTAATTGATTTAGTTTGTAAAGTAAAATATCTTCCTTTAAAATATGTACAGATATGTAATAAACTACAAAGAAACATTTCTACTTGCTTCAATAAGAATATGCTTTTTCAAATGGGAAAAAAACCTTTATACTGGTAAGTATATGCCAGTTCATTTCACCTATACTCTGCCTATTTTTTTTCTGAGAAAAGAGGCTAACAACTCTTGTGAATATGTAATATGAAGATTGTTAGTTATGTGAATCTCTACAGAAGATACAAGAAAAGAAATTTATTGTGAACAATCAGCTTACCAGTCATGATTGGACATTGTCTGTAGTTACCTAACTTTTTCTATATAAAGAGCTAGTATAGTGTTTGTGTGTGCACGTGTGTGTGTGTGCGTGTGTGTGTGTGTAGCTGTTAGGGAGGAGCTGATAGATAAAAAGAAGCTAAGCATGTCAGCATATGTACCAAGAAAATGTCTTAAGAATATGTAGTATATGCAAAAGATGTGCTAAAAGATACATCAAAATACATTTTTATGTGCAATTTCCTTGTTTTCATAATGGACCATGACTAAGCTGGGGGTTTAGGAAGCCACAAAAAAAACATGGTTCATCTTTCAAGAACATTAATTTTTCTTGAGACATTCGTGGTGAAAATACCCAATTCCACTTCCACTCCCCTATGCTGATGTATATTAGGGGCAGCCATGTGAAAAGCCTCAAGTCGAAAAAATGTGAGATTATGTCTTGAGGGACTTCATGGGAAAACAATGTGGTCAGTGTCAATACTTTACTTTTTTTTCTTACCTAGGACAAATATACATACTAGAGTTTAATAAGCTGTCTGCAACCATAAGTTAAGAAACCTACAGAATAAGGATTACACAGCAGAAATGTGGAGTCTTTTCCTTTATGAAATCATTGAGAACCCTCACTATTCCTAAATTTCTTCCAATTTCTCTTGTAAGGGAAAAAAATCTAGTAAATTGTATTCAGTTATATCACTATTACTGTTATTTACTTGTAATTGAAATACTCCTGAGTAGTGCACAAAGGAAGCTAATTGACATAACTTGTAATTTAAAACATTTTGCATTACATTAAATATTGATATCATAGAGTGGAAAGAAACATTTATTTATTTTTTTGTTACACCAGAGAATTTCAAAGAATTTTCACACTCACTAAAGGCCACTTCATAATACCATTATACACTCTAAATTTCTGGAGAAATTGTCTATTTTCCTTATACTCGTATATATATTTATATATATATATATACCTTATATATATATATACACACCATATATATATATACACCATATATATATGTGTATATATGTATATATGTGTATATATTTGTGTATATATATACACGTATGTGTATACATATGTATATATATATACACACCATATATAATATGGTGTATATTTATGGTGTATATATGGTGTATATATATATATGGTGTGTGTATATATATACATATGTATACACATATGTATATATATACACAAATATATACACATATATATATACATATATACACATATATATATACACACCATATATATATATATATGCAAACGAAGGTCTTGACAAGTATACACTTTCCACAGTTTCATAAAATTGTTGTCTATCAGTATTATTATTTTCAGCATTTTATTGGATTAATATTAGTATTACTTAAAAGTGATGCATATTTGGAAGCTAATAATGATAAAGTGTCTGGGTGAGATCAAAGTGAAGTAAGAGTCAGAGATGGAGAGGGAGAGAGACAGAAAGAGAGAACTGTAATAAAACGTAAAAAGTATTAGAGAGAAACCATAGTCAGTAACAAATCTGCATAGCCAGAAGTCAAGGAGCAGGAGTCTGAGCTGGTGAGCTTACACGTGATGGGACAAGAAACATCAAAGAAATATCAAAGGCTTTCTTCCTTTTGAATCTGTGTCTTAGGACTGTAGTTGAGCTTGTCTGTGTTTCAAAAAGCCCATTCCTATAGGGCTGAGGAGCAGCATGTGACCTGGTAGCAGAGTTCTACCTCAGATCATGCAGGTTTAGAATAGTACATGGATTAATGATTACTGACACTTTCCTAAGTTATTTTTAACTTATACCAAAGCCTGAAATTGTACCATTGCCAATAACTACAAGTAAAATTTTTCTTGTCTATTTCTTTCATTTTAGCCATGGCAGAGTAACTGGTACTAGATATACTCTTCTGCCTAAATCGGTAAAACTGGGCACAGTAAGACAACTGTTTTCAGATACTAGACACAGACCACGCAGGACTTCAAAAAAAGCACCAGCTTCTTCCCATATTGACACCAACTTTCTTCTGGAGTCATTTTTAGCCATGGTGAAGGGAAGTAGAGACCAAGTAGGGCATGCCAGATGTTTTGTGTTCCCCAAAGGCAAATACATTTTCTATCTCCTGAGTTGGCTAGAATTTGTGAGAAATTTAGCGGAAGGATAGAGTAACAAAGAAGGCAGTCCCAAAAGTCTACATGTGGCTTTCCTGCAAGTACTTGGTTGAGGATGGGGCTACACACACAGGAAAAGCAAGATTCCAGTAGGTTAAGTATATCAGGGACATGTTGGAGTGCCAGCCTAATCAGCGTAGAGAGACCTGAGACCTCATTGGATATTTCCAAATATTTGGTTAAGACTCTGTAAAAGCCACTTCTTAGAAGTTTAAGGACCATGACCCAAAGGCAACGTTATGGAACTAGGGATGAAAGGGACATAGAACAGAGAATAAAAATCAATCTTGACTGGTTGATAACTTAATTGCCTGCCAGAACAATTCTCAACACACTTTAAGGCAGGATTGGCCAATTTTTTTCTGTAGAGTGACAAATGGTAAATATTTTAGACCTGGGGACGCAAGAATATGTCACAACTAGTCAGTTCTGCCACTGCAGACTCGAAGTAGCCATAGACAACAGCTGAATAAAAGTGTAGCTATGTTCCAACAATAAAATATTATTTACAAAAAAGCAGGTGTTAGAACAGCTTTGATCCCATATTTCGCTGAGAAGACAAATATAATTCAGCAAGGGGGATAACATATCCAGGCTCCCTAAAACATTTTCACTATTTCTAGTGTAAACAAATATTATTCTTTAACCCAAGAAATTTCACTTTTAATCTTTGGTGTGGATCAAGAAGCAGAGTTCATTTAGGAAAGGGTACCTACTTCTGACTATTCAGTGGAATGTCAGATATTTGGTGGTCATTAGTCTATCATTAATGAGCATGCTCATATAAATATAAATATGTAAATGCCAAATTATTTTCAATAAAAGCTTCAATATTAGTAATGTGATACATGTTTACAGTTGAAACATCAACTGTCAATGATGAAGTGACTGTGAAAATTGAATTTCCTAAAACCCCTTCCCATCTTACTACTGTTTCTAGAAGGAATCATTTATATTATTTACATTACATTATTCCATAATTTTTTTCTGATAGTTATTTTCATGTATCTGGCTTATTTGCCTATGTATTCTTCCTTGCTTTAATCAAATTCAATCATTATCCATTTACACTTCCCTCTTATATGTGAGATTTTGGCCCTCCTCCATAAATCCCATTTGTCCACTTTCTATTCTTTCTATACAATAATATTACTATTTTAATTTTTCAATAAATATAGAATTCTTATTTTTATAATTAAGCAAATGTTACAGAGTCAAGATAAACTCTATATTTTATTCTTGTTTATTATTATTATTTCTTTCTTTTTCACTTGTAGAACTTTCAACTTTTTTATAAGAATTTTTATGTTTATTCAAAATATGCATAAAATCAAATATTTTGTGAATTCTTAGTTGTGTGTGTGTGTGTTTGCAAGCATGTGTGTGGGAGATTTGTTTATTTATTGTATTTTATTGTCTATATCTACCACAAGCTTTACTATCCAGTATGGGCTATTCTTTAAACATATTCCACATCATTTTCTGGGTTTCCCTTAAATTATATACTTGATGAGCCAATTTGTTGAGTTCATTTTATTTTCTTTTGACTTTCAACTTTTTAGTTTTATTAGAGAATAGTATCCAATAACTTCTTAAGAGAGTGTCACTCTACAAAAAAACAAATTTTACAAGACACATTGTATCTCCTCAGTTTAAAGATAAACTGTTTTCAACATATCTGAAATTAAGATGTATTGTTTTCAATTGATAGTGCTTTAAAATCACTCTCATCTAGGCAGCAGGATTTGTATAGCGATCATTGTTAGTGTATGGACTGAACTTACTCAAAAATCAGCTGTTGATAATTTTCTGTAAGATAGCAAGCAATCACCTGTAAAATTTATGAAAAAGGTGATAGTCGCTTTGCAGCATCATTATCATCTTGATGTCACACAACAATATTGTATACTAAACCAAAGATATTGATTATTCTGAGACAAAAATGATTCACAAAATCACACCCTATATTTAAAAAAATCCAATAGTTTAATATTTTTAGGATTGTCCAGATTACACTAGAGAAACAGTCTCCAAATTGTTATAGCTTATGAAAATAAATGTTTGTTCATCATAATGATTCATAAATATTCTTCTGGAACTCAGAAATTTGGAATTTTCTTATCTTGTGATTTTATTTTATCTGAGTTTATCTCCTCAGTCACTGGAGAAGTGAAGAAGAAAGAAAATGGAGGATCCCACAGTCATGAATTTACAGTGCATTAGTGGCTAGAGATAATCATGGGCCCATTCAAGTACAGGCAGTCTAGGATGCGATGCCTTTAATGTGAGGAGGTGGAAGTGGACCCAGTATTGGTTAACACTAATAATGTTTATCCCAGGCTACTCACTGATCATCAAATATTTGATTCATGCTAAATTAATTAATACAACTTTCCCTAAAGAAGGCAAGCCCCAAATCCCACTCACTATCAAGATTTATCTCAAACACCAAGTAACTTTTTTTTTTAAACATAGTCACTCTATAGTCATTCTTTTTTTTTTTTTTTTTTTTTTTTGAGACAGAGTCTTGCTCTGTCACTCAGGCTGGAGTGGTGCAGTGGCTGGATCTCGGCTCACTGCAACCTCCGCCTCCCAGGTTCAAGCAATTCTCCTGCCTCAGCCTCCCAAGTAGCTGGGACTACAGATGCATGATGCCATGCCTGGGTAGTTTTTGTATTTTAGTAGAGACAGGGTTTTACCATGTTGTCCAGGCTGGTCTCGAACTCCTGAGCTCAGACAATCTGCCCACCTCAGCCTCCCAAAGTGCTAGGATTACAGGCATGAGCCACTGTGCCTGACCAACATAGTCATTCTTAACCTGAGAACAAATATTAAATTAAAAATAATAAAATTAAAAAATCAAATTAAAAAGAAAAACTATCTATCCCCAATGCTCCATATTCCATAATTCAGTTACCTATTCAGGAAGAGACCATATAAAGAAAAGACAGCTACTGGTTCTTAGCATTCTGAAGTCCTATGTGCACCAAAAGTTCTATTCTAGGGAGAGACTGTCCCATGGTTAGGCCTTGATTTTGTTCTCTGTTGAGTAGCTTCCTTGTTTTCCTCTGGGGCTGCTGGCTTCATTGTCTGGGGAGATTTCTTTATTTTCTGTTTTCTTCACTGAACAATGTGAAGTAGACATTGAGAAATATACTCTCCTTGGCAGACTGGCCAACTTTCTTAATCTATGACCTGCTTAAATATGACTTAGTGTACTATTGCTATTTTAGGTATCTCATGATTATCCACTGAGTCCAGCTTTTTTATTTCTTTGGCAACTAGTACAAGGACTCTCAGATCACTTGTACTTATTTGCTTTATTTCCTCAATGTCTTTTGCTCATTGATATGATACAGGCAACATTGGAGTTATTGTAGTTTTACTGAAGTCTATCTCCTTAGTTCATTCATTGCCCGGAATTATTGTATTATATTTTAAACACTTACTGGGCACAACTCCTTTCACCTTTTCTGTGTCATAGGGAGATTTGTTCACTTGAAAGTTTTCATTACCTGTTTCCTTCTTATGTGTTTTCTCAAATTTATTGCTTTCTGTCTAGAATGTAAGAGCAGTTGCCTTTTCTAATTCTGCAAGCCCATGAACTTATGGACACTTTCTTTTCTTCTTCTTCTCAAGTTTGTAGGCAAAACAGCCAGTTCTTTACAAAGCTCATTTCATTCTGCTAACACCTTGCAAAAACATCATGGAAAACAACCAAAGTACATTACTATTTTATTCAAAATGATGTGCAGTTCTCATGTATACATAGTAATTTTATGAATGTTTTTGCCACTGTGTAACATGATTGTCATCTTTGCAACTCTCATGTTGGTCCCTTCACCACTCACTGCCTAGCCACAGATTTTAGGTTTTCCATGTCTTTGCCCCATTTTTATACTAATTTCTGCATTGGCCAGGATAGATTTTATCTGGCTGCAGAAATAGAATGTCAGTATTCTAGTGCAATAAAAATTTATTTCTCACTTGTGAATTTTTTTAAAGTCTAACTCACTTTTCAGGACAAGTGTCTACTCTGTGGTGAATCAATAGCCCAAGTTGTTTTAAATCTGTGCTTCCAACATTGCTGTATAAAGCTGCTTTCCCCATTGCCATGGCAGAGAAAGGGAGAAAGTAGAGAATCATGTATGAGCTTGTTATTGCTTCAATGTAGAAATTACACACTCTAGTTCTGTTTCCATGTTATTTTTAGGTCTATGAACATGGCTATGACCCACTGCCTGGGGATGAGGATCCTCATCTTCCATATACCCAGAAGTGGTGGAGAAACCTGTGTTGGTAGATGGTTGTAAGATCTATCATTAAAACTAATTTATTTCAGTCATCTCTTTATTTTTCAAAACATAAGAATCTATATCTAAAGAAAATTAAACAGTTTGTCCACAGTTACAAAATAAACATTCTAAATGATAATAAAGCTTGCACAATAGTTTTCTTAGCAGTGGTTTTTCTTTCTTAGTGATTCATACATATGATATGTCTTATAACCAATTTGATGAAATATAGTACAGATGGACGTATAGAAAAAAAAGCAATGATATAGTTTATCTAAAACTATATGTGTATTAGAGTTGCGCTATTATGAAACCAGGCCAAAAACAAGGCACATATATTTTAGTAAACACATTTTGTCTTTTTCTCATACTTTAAAAAAACTTTATTGGTTACTTACTTTTTGTCAGTAATGATTTTAAGTAATTGCACATGTATTTTTATAAATAGCAAGAAAATACTGTTTAAAAAACAATTAAAATCAAAAATAACATTTCCCACTTAATTGAGAATTTTCCCAGAAATTTTTCACCCTCTGAGGAGATGTTGAGCACTTTAACAGTTTCATTATATAAAGTTGCAATACGAGTTTTGCAACTGCACACAATGTTAAATTCAAGATAGAATACTTGTCTTATTTTCTTAGCAGTGCTCTAACTATAGTGTGTGATTAACAAATGTAAGAAATCCTTAATAATATTTACATATGTTTCATGAAGTAGCTTTAGGATATGGAAAGTAAAATAATATTAATTTTAACAATAATAATTCATAGAATTATGTACAGTTCACTTGTAGGAAAAAGAGTGAATGTGGATTTTTTTTTTTTTTTTTGAGACAGAGTCTCACTCTGTCACCCAGCCTACAGTGCAGTGGCACGATCTCGGCTCACTGCAACCTCCGCCTCTCGGGTTCAAGCAATTCTCTGGCCCAGCCTCCTGAGCAGCTGGGATTACAGGCGCCTGCCACCATGCTCGGCTAATTTTTGTATTTTTAGTAGAGACGGGGTTTCACCATCTTTGCCGGGCTAGTCTTGAACTCCTGACCTCGTGATCCACCTGCCTTGGCCTCCCAAAGTGCTGGGATTGCAGGCGTGAGCCACCGTGCCTGGCCAAATTTGGATTTTTAAAAATGTTACAGGCCTATAAAGAGAAAACTTATTCCCACGAGTATTCCATAATCCACAATTTAAAAATCATGAGTGAATACGAGTCTGATTTATTTCAGTGTTTCTCATGTCTGCTTGTACATTCAAATACCCTGGAAGGTTTTCATAGGAATCAAATTACATGAATGCCAACCAAGAGCAATAAAATTAGAATCTCTGGAGCTGCCATATAGGCACTTGCACTTTTTTCAGTTTATCCTGAATTTGAATACTGTCTTACATTTTGGACCTACATTTTTAGACAAGTTACCTAAACTCCATAAGCTTTAATGTGCTCCTCTGTTAAATGGATGATAACAATTTCTACCCCACAGAAGTTGTTCTGAATTGTTGTTAAGTTGGCATTATTCCCAATGGTGTCCTTTACAATGCAGAGAAGAAATGTTAAACCATGTTTATGAGAATCCATCCCCCTGTATGATAACTAATTCGAATGTCATATAAAGAAAGTGTGGTACAAATATCAAATAGACGCAATAAAAAATGATAAAGGGGATATCACCACCAATCCCACAGAAATACAAACTACCATCAGAGAATACTATAAACACCTCTACGCAAATAAACTAGAAAATCTAGAAGAAATGGATAAATTCCTCGACACATACACTCTCCCAAGACTAAACCAGGAAGAAGTTGAATCTCTGAATAGACCAATAACAGGATCTGAAATTGTGGCAATAATCAATAGCTTACCAACCAAAAAGAGTCCAGGACCGGATGGATTCACAGCCGAATTCTACCAGAGGTACAAGGAGGAACTGGTACCATTCCTTCTGAAACTATTCCAATCAATAGAAAAAGAGGGAATCCTCCCTAACTCATTTTATGAGGCCAGCATCATTCTGATACCAAAGCCGGGCAGAGACACAACCAAAAAAGAGAATTTTAGACCAATATCTTTGATGAACATTGATGCAAAAATCCTCAATAAAATACTGGCAAAACGAATCCAGCAGCACATCAAAAAGCTTATCCACCATAATCAAGTGGGCTTCATCCCTGGGATGCAAGGCTGGTTCAATATACGCAAATCAATAAATGTAATCCAGCATATAAACAGAGCCAAAGACAAAAACCATATGATTATCTCAATAGATGCAGAAAAGGCCTTTGACAAAATTCAACAACCTTTCATGCTAAAAACTCTCAATGAATTAGGTACTGATGGGACATATTTCAAAATAATAAGAGCTATCTATGACAAACCCACAGCCAATATCATACTGAATGGGCAAAAACTGGAAGCATTCCCTTTGAAAACTGGCACAAGACAGGGAAGCCCTCTCTCACCACTCCTATTCAACATAGTGTTGGAAGTTCTGGCCAGGGCAATTAGGCAGGAGAAGGAAATAAAGGGTATTCAATTAGGAAAAGAGGAAGTCAAATTGTCCCTGTTTGCAGATGACATGATTGTATATCTAGAAAACCCCATTGTCTCAGCCCAAAATCCCCTTAAGCTGATAAGCAACTTCAGCAAAGTCTCAGGATACAAAATCAATGTGCAAAAATCACAAGCATTCCTATACACCAACAACAGACAAACAGAGAGCGAAATCATGAGTGAACTCCCATTCACAATTGCTTCAAAGAGAATAAAATACCTAGGAATCCAACTTACAATGGATGTGAAGGACCTCTTCAAGGAGAACTATAAACCACTGCTCAAGGAAATAAAAGAGGATACAAACAAATGGAAGAACATTCCATGCTCATGGGTAGGAAGAATCAATATCATGAAAATGGCCATACTGCCCAAGGTAATTTACAGATTCAATGTCATCCCCATCAAGCTACCAATGCCTTTCTTCACAGAATTGGAAAAAACTACTTTAAAGTTCATATGGAACCAAAAAAGAGCCCGCATCGCCAAGTCAATCCTAAGCCAACAGAACAAAGCTGGAGGCATCACACTACCTGACGTCAAACTATACTACAAGGCTACAGTAACCAAAACAGCATGGTACTGGTACCAAAACAGAGATATAGATCAATGGAACAGAACAGAGCCCTCAGAAATAACGCCGCATATCTACAACTATCTGATCTTTGACAAACCTGAGAAAAACAAGCAATGGGGAAAGGATTCCCTATTTAATAAATGGTGCTGGGAAAACTGGCTAGCCATATGTAGAAAGCTGAAACTGGATGCCTTCCTTACACCTTATACAAAAATCAATTCAAGATGGATCAAAGACTTAAACGTTAGACCTAAAACCATAAAAACCCTAGAAGAAAACCTAGGCATTACCATTCAGGACATAGGCATGGGCAAGGACTTCATGTCTAAAACACCAAAAGCAATGGCAACAAAAGACAAAATTGACAAATGGGATCTAATTAAACCAAAGAGCTTCTGTACAGCAAAAGAAACTACCATCAGAGTGAACAGGCAACCTACAGAATAGGAGAAAATTTTTGCAATACACTCATCTGATAAAGGGCTAATATCCAGAATCTACAATGAACTCAAACAAATTTATAAGAAAAAAGCAAACAACCCCATCAACAAGTGGGCAAAGGATATGAACAGACACTTCTCAAAAGAAGACATTTATGCAGCCAAAAGACACATGAAAAAATGCTCATCATCACTGGCCATCAGAGAAATGCAAATCAAAACCACAATGAGATAGCATCTCACACCAGTTAGAATGGCAATCATTAAAAAGTCAGGAAACAACAGGTGCTGGAGAGGATGTGGAGAAATAGGAACACTTTTACACTGTTGGTGGGACTGTAAACTAGTTCAACCATTGTGGAAGTCAGTGTGGCGATTCCTCAGGGATCTAGAACTAGAAATACCATTTGACCCAGCCATCCCATTACTGGGTATATACCCAAAGGACTATAAATCATGCTGCTATAAAGACACATGCACATGTATGTTTATTGCGGCATTATTCACAATAGCAAAGACTTGGAACCAACCCAAATGTCCAACAATGATAGACTGGATTAAGAAAATGTGGCACATATACACCATGGAATACTATGCAGCCATAAAAAATGATGAGTTTATGTCCTTTGTAGGTGCATGGATGAAATTGGAAACCATCATTCTCAGTAAACTATCGCAAGAACAAAAAACCAAACATCGCATATTTTCACTCATAGGTGGGAATTGAACAATGAGATCACATGGACACAGGAAGGGGAACATCACACTCTAGGGACTGTTGTGGGGTGGGGGGAGGTGGGAGGGATAGCACTGGGAGATATACTTAATGCTAGATGACGAGTTAGTGGGTGCAGCACACCAGCATGGCACACATATACGTATGTAACTAACCTGCACAATGTGCACATGTACACTAAAACTTAAAGTATAATAATAAAAAAATGGGTGAATAAATTAAAAAAAAAATACACTATGGAATACCATTCAGCCATAAAAAGAATGAAATTATGTCCTTTGCAGGGACATGGATGCAGCTGGAGGCCATTATCCTTAGCAAACTAACACAGGAACGGAAAACCAAATAACACATGTTGTCACTTATAAGTGGAGCTAAATGATGAGAACACATGAACACACAGAGGGGAACAACATACCATGGGGCCTATCGGAGGGTGGAGGGTGGAAATGGAGAAAGGATCAGGAAAAATGACTAATGAGTACTAGGCTTAATACCTGGGTGATGAAATACTCTGTAAAATAAGCCCTCATGACACAAGTTTACCTATGTTACAAACCTGCACATGTACTCTTGAACTGAAAATGAAAGTTAGAAAATTGTTTTTTAAAAATTAGAATATTATAAGGCAAACTAATGTTATAATTTGGCAAGAGGAATAGGAATAAATTATGCAATTCCTGAAGGGGGTTATGGTCGGATGTGTTGACAAATATAAGATACACAAAGCTTGAAATTGCTTATCTCTCACCTGCTTTGATGCTGTTAACAGAAACAGGCAGGCTATTTCTGAAGATCTCAGCAGGTTCCTTTGACAATCACGTGCTCCAGTAGTTTTGGCTAAGGTCTTAAACCACCTTGATTTTCTGGCTGCATTTCTTGGCCTTTGTTGATTACCTGGCTGACCTTTGTTTCCCTACATCTTCTTTTCTTTTCTGTAAACTCTAATCCCTATGTTAAAGCCTTTCATTCTATTAACCTGACTGAACCTAAATAATATAGCCTTATGGGAAAGTTTAAGAAGATAACATGTGGACTATGGACCGCTAGTGTTCACATTCAAGTAATCTGTCTCAGATTCCAGTGTATTTATCCTCAAGTTTTGCTATGATATATTATCAGAGAGAAATGAACTTAATAACATCTAGTTCCTTTAACATTCAACCTGGTGTCAGCTCCCTAGAAAAATCCTAATAATGGTTTGCCTCACTGATTAATTTTAAATTAAAACTCACTTAGATACATGTGTAATGCTTTAAAAGAAAATTAATCTAAAATCAAACTAAGCATATACCCTGAGGCTTGGAAGAAACGTAACTATAATCTTAATAAGAGCTAATAAAGTTCTCTGTATTTTTGTATTGTTCTGTTGATTATTGATTTCCAATAGCATTCAAATTTGATCAAAGCTTCATCTAGTTTTCTTTCTGAATTAGCTCCTGTGGCCAATGCTAAAGCTTTACAAACACTACAGGATATATTTTTTTAAATTACTCTGTAGCCAGAAGCAGTGATATCGAAGCTAACCCAATAGCCCCATCGACTGTTCTTTCAGATAAACATAGAAATTGACCTTTCTAGTCTTAAATCTTGAAACTTGTATTTGTTTTATCTGAGTTCCTTCCTCAGGAAAGGACCTTTGGGCAGCAAGGAAGGAAGGAAGGAAGGAAGGAAAGAAGGAAGAAAGGAAGGAGAAAAATAAATTATCCAAGAACTGAAACTCACCAGATCACCACATCCGTGAGATCCCGGACCCCTCATTCATCCTTATTGCTTCCTTGCCCCCTCCCTAGTTTCTACTTTCTTACACATTGTTACATTTCTTCCCTGCTATTTAAACCCCTAGTTTTGGCCCATCAGGGAGATGGATGTAAGACTGAGCTCGATCTCCTTGGCTGTAGCACCTAATTAAAGCCCTCTTCCTTGGCAATACTTGTCATCGCAGTGATTGGCTTACTGTGCAGTGAGCAGCAGGACCTAGGCCAAATCCCTGGTGTTTTGGTAACAATATCATCAGAATACAGACTCTCAAATATTCAAATGTGTTGTTGTTTTCTATTTTTCACTTATTGCCCTCTTTTTGATCATTTATCTCACTTTTACTTTGTATTTATAAAAGGCTGGGAGCAAAGTAGAGAGGGAAAAATTACTTAATTTCTTAAAATAATAGCCCTTGTGATTATAATACAGAACATTGTGTTAATGTATTATTAGCTAAAACAAATGTTATGAATTTAATAATTAGAACTATTTTCAACTTAGTTTCAACTTATGGCCCAAGAAAATAGAAGTCAGAATCAAAATCCAGCATGCAGAACTTGTTGTAAAACATGGCAGTACAGGTGAGTTACAATGTCTCATTTTTTTTGCAAACTCTCTAACTTATATTTCAGAATATAAATTTTCAGGAGTCAGAATTTGAGACAAGTATTTTTCTGTAAATAAAATCAAATGAGTTTTGTGTACTTTACATTACCTTCACTCAATATGGGAGGAAAAGATGTATTATCCTATTAATTTCAAGTCAGGAGATCAGGATTTTCCAGAGGAAACAAAGAATAAAGGTCTCATGAAGGTTTAGAAGCACAGTGTCCTGGGTTTTGTGCCACTGCCACTCTTGATAAACCAAGACGGCACAAACCTGTCTATATAGTTTCTCTGAGGTGGAATATAAGTTGTCACATCTAAGCCTGTATGTGTTTTCAAGCTTTTGCTGGGCAAGTAGTGTTTGTAGCATATTATGTCCATGAATGAAACAGAGAATTGATGTTTAACTCAACAGGATCAGCTGGATGGGCAAGCTGATTCCAAGTTCCTATGGCCTGAAGAAGTAGCTATTGGCTAGCCAGACCTACGCTTTATCATGTCAAGGAAATTGCAAATCAGAAATTTCATTGTTTGGGGGATAAAAACTCTGAAGACCTCATAAATGCACAGTGTCAGTATAGGGATCAATTTCAAACACCTGACAACACTAGACAATATAATTTCAATAGCCATTAACTAAGAAATTTATTTTACTTTCTTCTTCTACCCACATATCTCTATATCTCTGGCCCTTGGTGGTCAGAAATCAGGATTTGCAAGAAGGGGGTACATGAGAATAGCAAAAGGCAGAGAAAGTGAACCAAGTCTATTGTTAGATACAAGCCGATAAGAAACTAATGAAAGCTCTGAGATTCATGAATGCTGTCAGAAGACACAAGACCCTGGGCTCAGAAAAAGGTAACTTGATTACCTATGGCTAGAAGGCACCACGGATTTTATGTTTGTACCAGTCCCCTCAGTCCCATGGACCTATATGGATGCTGAGAACATAGGGAGTTTGTAACACGTGTGGTGAGAAATTTTGAACTAGAAAATCACTTTTTTTTCAATAGAGGGCTGCAAACAAGCCTCTCCAAGCAAATATTTGCAAACAAATTTCTTCTTTTTTCAGAGGAAAACATTGCTTGTACTATACTGAAAATAAAAACGAGTATTTTCCAAGTTGGTTTGTTGAACACGTCTTTTGATAGTACTTATAAAAGGCAGTCTTTCTGTACATCTTGACTGTACATCTTGAAACTTTCAGGATGTACAGAAAACAACTGACCTATGGAGAATTATCTCTCAACAATTGTCAATCTTCCACAGGCTCAAGCAGCGAGATGGGCAAAAGCCTATACTTAAAGATTGCACTTCTCATGATTATAAGTCGTTGGTCATTTTATTCCTAGACTGAGATTGTGTTTTAAGATTTGAAGGAACTGAAAAGCATTTTAATTCTCTAATCAACATTGCATCCTAGCATGTGCAAGCCCCTAAATATTAATATTTTGAAAGAGAGGAAAAGAAAGGAGGGAAGAGAAGAAATAAGAGAAGGAAGGATGATAAGCAAGGAAAGGAAACTCTATTACTATATGCAATGAATCACGCTTTTTCACCATTAAATTGATTTTTGACAAAGTAGCCACATTGTGGGAGAAATCTGAAATAACTAGAATTACAATTTAAAAGTAAATGCAAATATCTACAGTGTCTGCTTTCTTCTGTCATTTTTGTGTGCTAGTCAATATTCTATGTGAATTGGGTTTACCCTGAGTTTACCTAGTGTTTGTTACATTTTGTATTTATCCTATACAAAATATAGGTATGTCCGATATTTTCTATATATCTTCTAAGAAAAAACTGCCCCAAATATATTTAATCTTGATCTGCTGTGAGAAAAAACCTAGGTGGTTTGAGGAGAAATAAATGGAATTTTTGGTTAAACAAACACTTCAAAATTTGTACTTCAAAAGAGGATTTTTTTTTCTTCAAAAAGTACACATTTCAATTTGTTAATGGAAACTGTGAAAAAAAAAACTAAACTAGGAGAAACAATTTTCTTTTCTTTAGTATGACACTAATAACTAAAAAGATTTTGGAAGTCACTAAACCCTAGTTTTTATCATATTAAGATAAAGAAACATGCAAATAATTTTTAAAATTGTAATTATAATTTATTGACTAACCTTCTTGCTGGAGACAGAATGACTTTTTTTTTTTTTTTTTTTTTTTTGAGACAGAGTTTCGCTTTTGTTGCCCAGGCTGGAGTGCAATGGTGCGCTCTCGCGCAGCTTACTGCAACTTCTGCCTCCCGGGTTCTAGCGATTCTCCTGCCTCAGCCTCCGGAGTAGCTGGAATTACAGGCATGCGCCAACACTCCTGACTAAATTTTTGTATTTTTAGTAGAGACGGGGTTTCTTCATGTTGGTCAGGCTAGTCTCGAACCCCCGACCTCAGGTGATCTGCCCACCTCAGCCTCCTAAACTGCTTGGATTACAGGCATGAGCTACTGAGACTGGCTGAGAATGACATTCTAAAATTAAAATTATCTCAAAGAGGAATCACAGCTTTGTCCTGATAACAGACAAAATTTTTATGTTTAAAATTATGAGAAGACAAATGCATTATTTAAATAATTCATTTAGATTCATATGAAAAACACTAAAATCTAATTCCATAAGTTGCCTGCACAAACATGTTTTTAATGAATTTATATATTTTTAATTGGCATGAAAATTGTATCTATCATATATGACATGATGTTTTGAAATGTTTATACACATTGTAGGATGGCTAAATTGAGCTAATTAATATATGCATTATCTCACAAGCTTATTATTTTTATGATAAAACACTTAAAATATCTTAGCAATTTCAAGAATATTGTTATGAACTGTAGTCACCATGTTGTGCAATAGATTTTTTGAATGTTTTCCTTTTATTTAATGGAAATTTTCTATCCTTTGATCCACAGCTTTGTAAACCTTCTCTCCCCACAGTGCCTACCAGCCCTGGGTGGGCTACTATTTTCTGCTTCTATGAGTTCAACTTTTTCAGATTTAATATAGAAGCGAGATCATGCAATATTTTTTTTGCGTCTGTTTTATTTCAATTAACATAAACTTCCCCAGGTTTATCCATGTTATTGCAAATAACAGGACTTCCTTCGTTTTAAAGGCTGACTAGAATTCCATTGTGGACATATGTTACATTTTCCTTATTCATTCATCCTTAATGGACTTAGATAGCTTTATATCTTGGCCATTGTGAAAAGTGCTACAAGAAACATGGGAACATCGATATCTTTTCCACATACTGATTTCATTTATTTTAGGTATACACACAGTAGTAGGATTGCTGGATCACATGGCAGTTCTATTGTTATTATTATTTTTTTAACACAGTCTCGCTCTGTTGCCCAGTCTGTAGTGCCGTGGCGCGATCTTTGCTCACTGCAACCTCTGCCTTCCGGCTTCAAGCAGTTCTCCTGCCTCAGCCTCCCAGGTATCTGGGATTACAGGCACCTGCCACCATGCCCAGCTAATTTTTTGTATTTTTAGTAGAGTCGAGGTTTCACCACGTTGGCCAGGCTGGTCTCACCACGCCCAGCTAATTTTTTTGTTTTTTATTTTTAGTAGAGTCGAGGTTTCACCATGTTGGCCATGGTGGCTGCCACCACACCCAGCCTTATTATTAATTTTTGAGGAACATGCATGTTGTTCTCTATAATGCCTGTACTAATTTACATTGCCACTAATGTTGCTCGAGATTCCCTTTTCTCCACACCCTTGCTTGTTATTTTTCATATTTTTGATAATAATTATTTTAACAGAAGTAAAGTGATATCTCATTGTGATTTTAACTTACATTTTCCTGATAATTAGTGATGCTGAGCATTTTTTAAATATAACTTGTAACCATTTATATGTTTCCTTTTTAAAAAACATCTGTTCAATCTCTTGCTCATTTTAAAATCTGATTATTTGTTTTCTTGCTGTTTAGCTCGTTGAGTTCCTTACATATTTTGAATATTAGCACCTTATTGATGTATTATTTGGTAATATTTTCTCTCATTTATTAAGATGTCTTTTCTATCTGTTGACTATTTCGTTTGCCATGAAATGGCTTTCAGTTTGGGTAATACCACTTGCTGAACAACAATGTCTTCAAGATTTTTCCCTGTTTTCTCGTATTAATTTTACAATTCAAGCTTTACATTTACTTTAATTCACTTTGAGTAGGTTTTTGCACATGCTGTGAGTTAAGAGTCTAATTTCATTCTTCTGCATGTGAATATTCAGTTTTCCCAATATCATTTATGGAAGACACTGTATTTTCCCTACTTTGTGTTCTTGGCACCTATATTAGCCTGTTCTTGTGTTGCTATAAACAAAAAGCTGAGACTACTAACTCTGGGCTTAGCTTGCTCTTTTTCTAGTTCCTTGATGCATGCATGAAGCTGTTTGTTTGATTTTTCTTCTGTTTTGATGTAAGCATGTATAGCTATAAGCATCCCATAAGTTTTGCTATATATTTAATTTTGTTTTCCCAAAAATATTTTTAAATTTTTCTTTTAATTTATTTCACTCATTAATTATTCAGGAGCATAGTGTTTAATTTTCATATATGAGTGAATTTTCCAATCTTTCTCCTGTTATTGATTTCTAGTTTCATACCATTTTCTTGATGTGATTTAATTCCTTTTAATATGTTAAAACTTGTTTTGTGGACTAACATATGATATATCCTGGAAAGTGTTCTGTGTGTATTTGCAAAGAATAAGTGAGTATTCTACTGAAGTTGCATGGAATGTTTGGTATATGCCTGTTAGATTTATTTGGTCTAAACTATAGTTTAAATCCAATGTTTTCTTGTTGATATTCTGTCGGGATAATTTACCTATTGCCAATGGTGGAGTATGTAAGTCCCATTATTATTTTATTATAATCTATGTCTTCCTTTTATGTATTAATATTTGCTTTATATATTTAGGTTCTCTAATTTTGGATTCATGTACTTTTATAATTGTTATATCCTTTTAATGAATTGGCGTTTGTCTCTTTTTACAGTTTTTGACTTGAAATCTATTTTATCTGATATAAGTACAGCTACCTCTTCTCTCTTGTGGTTTCCATTTACATAAAATATCTTTATCCAGCCTCTTACTATCAGTCCATGTGTGTGCTTAAAAGGAAAGTGAGGGTGGGCCTGGAGCATGTATTGGTGGGAACTGCATCTGCATCTGTGTCTGTAATCTGTATCTTTATCTATGTTTATGTCTGTATCTCTAGGCTCTGTGTCTATATCTGTATCAGTAGATGCTGTATTGGTAGGGGTGGGCCTGAAGGCTGGGTTCACAAGGACTGATGGGACTCTGGGGTGGATCTTGACCCTGATTGTGCAGCAGTTGGCCAGGCATCAGGATGGACCTGACATCTGGGTTCATTGGGACATGCCCGAAAGCTGAGTTCACTGGGGCTGGCTTAGTGCTAGTATCAGCCTGAAGCCTGAGTCTGCAGGGTATACCTGGGTCATGGGCCCATGGGAATTGGCATAGAGCCTGTGCCTTCTAGGGGGGTACTGGAGCCTTGGTCCAAAGAGGCCAGATTGGCTTTGGGGTTTATTGGGCTAGACCCTATCCAGGACATACGGACTATAGCAGGACACAGCCCTGTCCTATAGACTCAGGTTTCAAGCCCACTCTAGCACCAGCCCAGCCCCAGTGGACTCAGCCTCCAGGCATGTCCCAGTGGACCCAGATGTTAAGTCCATTCTGGGTTTACTGGTCTTATGCTGGGACAGGCATAGAGCCTATATCTTCCCATCTGGACCCTGGGATTGTGTGCACTGATCTGGGTCTTGGGTTCATGGGGGCTGGTATGCTGCTGTGGAAGCTGGATCCACAGGGACAGGCCTGAAGCTTATGTCTTGGCTGCCAGCATGGTGCTTGAGGCCAGGGTGCTGACCTGGTGCTGGCATAGGCCTAAAGCCTGGGGTTGTGTGGATTATCCTGGTCTGGAGCCTGAGGTGGGCATAGAGCCAGGGGCCCCAGGGGCTGACCTGGTACTGGGCATCCTATAACCTATATTTGCAGGGGCTGGCAAGTCTGTGTCTGTGGGTGTCAGTCTTTTTTCTTTTTTATTTCATTTTTTTTTTTGAGACGGAGTCTCGCTCTGTTGCCCAGGCTGGAGTGCAGTGGCGCGATCTTGACTCACTGCAACCTCTTCCTAGTGGGTTCAAGCCATTCTCCTGCCTCAGCCTCCCGAGTAGCTGGGACTGCAGGCGCCCGCCACCACGCCCGGCTAACTTTTTGTATTTTTAGTAGAGACAGGGTTTCACTGTGTTAGCTAAGATGGTCTCGATCTCCTGAACTTGTGATCTGCCCACCTTGGCCTCCCAAAGTGCTGGGATTGCAGGTGTGAGCCACCACGCCTGGCCGGGTGTCAGTCTTATAATTAGGGAGGCAGAGGCAAGCCTAGTGTTAGGTATGGTGTTGAATTTTAGGCTGGCAGGGTGGGCCTGATTCTATCTAGCGTGCACCTAGAGATAGAGTATACACGGCAGACCTGGAGCCAGAATCTGTGGGGCTGGTCAGACCCTGGGGTGGGCCTGTAGCCAAAAGCTACAGGGGCCAAGCAGGTGCCCTGCCAGTTGGGAGCCTGAAGATGCTGGGGTTGGCCTGAGGTGGGTGGTCCTGGAGACTGAGTTTGCCAGGCAGGCCTGGAGCCTGGGATTGCAGAATCCAGCCCGGCACCAGGGCAGGTATGATGGCTCAGGCTGAGGGTAGGAGTTTGGGGTTTGGGGCCTTAGGGACCTGCCTGGTCCTGGGCTTTACTGGGGCAGGCCTAGTATTGGAGTCCAAGCCAAAGTCTGGTGCTTACTTTCCTCTCCTTTCCCCAATCAGACAGTATATCTCTCCACATTGTGTCTGAATTTGGAGGAGGGAACATGAGTAAGGTAAAACTGCCCTTCCTATCCTCTTCAATGACTCTTCTCTTATTTCTGTGGTACAGCCAGGTCTTGTCATCTATCATCTGGTTTTCTTAGCGATTATGACTGTGTTTTTGTGCACGAATAGTTGTTCAAACTGATGTTCCTGTTGCAGGAATGAGCACTGGAAATTTCTGTTCCACCTTCATGCTGACATCTGGTGAGCAGATTTTTTTTTTTTTTTTTTTTTTTGAGAGGGAGTCTCTCTCTGTGGCCCAGGCTGGAGTGCAATGGTGCAATCTCGGCTCACTACAAGCTCTGCCTCCTGGATTCATGCCATTCTCCTGCCTCAGCCTCCCGAGTAGCTGGGACTACAGGCGCCCGCCACCATGCCCAGCTAATTTTTTGTATTTTTAGTAGAGACCGGGGTTTCACCGTGTTATCCAGGATGGTCTCAATCTCCTGACCTCATGATCTGCCTGCCTTGGCCTCCCAAAGTGCTGGGATTACAGGCATGAGCCACCGCGCCCGGCCGATATTTTTTAAATGAGTAAATAAAATGGATACTTATTCAAATTTAATACATAGTACAGATGTTCAAAACACTACTCCAAGGAACTATTTTTCATTTTTAAATGATGAGAGGTTACTTTTTACTAAGAAAATTTGAGTTGGCAGTTCGTGCTCTTGAGGCTGCTTTCAAGCATCTGTGATGCAGGCCCTTATGTGTGATTATTTTGCTTTTCTCAGCTCATGGCTTCCACCTCAAGAGAGCTATTATTTCCAGTCATTATTTCAATGAAATTAATTTCTAAAAACCCTTTTACAGTAATATCAAAATATACAAATAGCAATAAAAAATACAAACAAATTGAATGGAGATGTTCAAGACCTCTACAATAGCCATTTCAAAACATTGCTGAGAGAAAGGTACACATGTGAAATGGTAAACCTACTTTATTAATCAGAGCAACACAATTAAGTATGTCCCCAGGAGAAATATAAAAAGTTGTCTAGTGATCGTTCATAGCAACTCTACTTATAATAGTCAAAGACTGGAAATAAACCCAGTGTCTATGACCAGAATGTAAATAAACAACCTGTGGTATATCCTTACAATGGAATATTATTCAACATAAAAGAAAACAGATTGCTTACACACACAATAACTTGAATCTCAAAAGTATTATGCTAAGTTAAATAAATTAGACTAGAAACTACATAATGTGTGATTCTGTTGATATAAATTCTAGAAAATGCAAATCAATACATGGTAGCAAAAAGCAGATAG
Source organism: Homo sapiens (assembly GCF_000001405.40). Lineage (NCBI taxonomy): Eukaryota > Metazoa > Chordata > Mammalia > Primates > Hominidae > Homo > Homo sapiens. The sequence goes on from NW_003315915.1 coordinate 147,921, forward strand.
TGGTTTCTTGGGACAGAGGTTAAGAAACAGATGAATTTCAAAGGGACAAGAGGCAACTTTTGAAGTTGATGACATTTTTTGTTATTTTACTTGTGATGGTAATTTCTCAGAAAAAAAATAACGTTTCTCAAATTGTGTATTTGAGTAAGTATAATTTATTGAACTTCAAATATACTCCCCAAAATTGTTGTGTATGTATGTGTGTGTTTGTATACACATTGTAAAAAATGAATCTATAATGAATCTACATATAGAATGAATAATATTTATGTGTTAGAATGAATAGTATTTATGTGTTTGGGTTCTCCAGAGAAACAGAATAAATAGGATATCTGTGTGTGTATATATATATACACACACATATATATGTATATCTGTGTGTATATATATGTATATGTATATATACATATATATACACACACACAAGCACACACACTCTCACTCATATAGATTGATATGGTTTGGCTGTGTCCCCACCCAAGTCTCATCTTGAATTATAGCTCCCATGTGTTGTGGGAGGGTCCTGGTGGGAGATAATTGAATCATGGGAACTGTTACCCCCATACTGTTCTCTAATGATTCACTGCTGGTTGTAAATAAGTCTCAGGAGATCTGATGGTCTTATAAGGGGAAGCCCCATTCACTTGGTTCTCATTGTCTCTCTTGACTAATGCCAATGTAAGACGTGCCTTTCACCTTCTTCCACGATTATGAGGACTGCCAGCCACTTGGAACTGTGAGTCTATTTACCCTCTTTTTCTTTAAAAATTATCTAGTCTTCGGTATCTTTTTCAGTGCATGAAAAATGGACTAGTACATACATATATGTCAGAAAAAGCTTATTACAGAAATGTGCCCACTTGATTATGGAGGCCATGGAGGGACTCATCCAAGTCTGAAGGACTGAGAACCAGGGTTATTCCTGTTGTAACCCCTAGTCCAAAGCTGAAATCCTAAGAAGTGATGGGAGGGTATTGGTGGGAAAGGCACTGGACCAAATCCCAGAGTCTGAAGTCCTGAGAACCACGAGCACCCATGTCCAAGCACAGAAAAAGATGGATGTTCCAACTCAAGGGGAGAGAGAATTCATCTTTCTTCTGTCATTTTGTTCTATTTAGGCTCACAAGGGATTGGATGATGCCTGCCCACACTGGTGATGGTAGATCTTCTTTACTTAGTCCACTGATTTAAATGCTATATTCTTTCAGAAACCCCCTCACAGACACACTCAGAAATAATATTTTACCAGCTATTTGAGCATCCCTGAACCCAGTCAAGCTGACATATAAAATTAACCATTACAATTTGTTTCACAGATTTGTATCAATTATCTGTTATTCATTTAGTTTTATACTGCTAGACTTTGAGGGAAAATGTTGAGAAATTTTAAAAAATTATCTGCTTTCACAAGGCTTTCAATATTCTTAAAAAACTATATATAACTAAATAATCATTATGATTTATTATAATAAATATATGAATAATATGCCAGTTTTTATGGGAAGACTTAGAAAATACATCTACTGTTTTTAGTACATTATAAATCACTTCCTTAAAAAAGCATATTTACTCTATAAGCTGGAGTATGAGTAGTAGTTAGTAATATGCTAAGCCTCTAGGCATAAGAGAAGCAGGGTGCTTTCCAGAAATTTATCAATCTCCTCCTGCTTGCATCTCAGCATGCAAGAGAGCTTTAGGGGATTTTATGCCTAGAGAGGTTGTCTGGGATCAGATAGGCCATGAAAAAAGAAAAGATTAGATATTATCTAAACTAGAATCTTTAGAAAGAACTCATATAGGGCAAGATATTGATGCTTTAGGCTTATTTTTTTGGCTGCACTCTAGAGAATGGATGGGAAAGTATAAAAGAATGGGGATAATATCTAGTTTGGTAGACCTTTTGCAGTAATATAGGTAAGACCTGATGTCTTGAACTAATCACCGTTGTGTATATCAAAGAAGAACAAAGAAAATGAATTATGGAGACATGTAAGCAGTGGTAGAATTGGTAAAACTGGTGATTGATGGAATGTTAGAATTGAGGGGGAAGGAAGAGACATAGACTCTGAATTTCTGGGTTTTAGATTAAATAGATGGTGCTGCTACTCCCTAATATAGGAGAAACCATCAAAAGAATGGGTGGGCAGGAGAAGAGAAGGAAAGCAGATGCTTTTGAAGTGATAGACAATCCAGATCTGGGGATTTTGAGTCTAAGATGCATTGAAACTTCTCAACATTTTTTTTTAGATAGTTTGAGTATTGGGAATTAGAGGTGAGACGGAGAAGAAAAAAAATGGAGATACAGTATGAAAATTCAGTTTACATGTCAGGAAAGTAAAGGGATTAAACTGTTTTGTAAAAGGTAGAGTTGCTAACAGTGACAAAGGCTTTCATGAGAGTTAAGATCCTAGAAGAGGGAGATGGAGATATTTAAAGTTAAGTGTAGATAAAAATGCATTGGAAATACATAAATTTCAACATTTAAAGGTTGATTACTATGAATCTATTGTGGTATTGCAAGCTTCTCTGTATGCTTTCCTCCATCTGGTCTCAGAAGTCTTCATGATAAAAGAGAAAACCAAAACCTAAATGAGAGTTGTGTGTGAGTATGTATGTGGGTGTGGGCTGGTGTGCTTGTCTAGAATTTTATGACAGAAACGGTAAGTTAAAAAATTGAGATTGTCAAGAGTCATGGAAAAGTTGAACCATTATATGATAATTCGTGCCATTACACAGAGTTCCTGGTTTCAAACATCAGAATGGAATTAGGCATTATATTTATTAAATGATATGTCATACCTCACAGACTCTCAAAAAGTACCAGAAGTAACTCATGAGTAAGTTACTCAACCAGGAAAAGCACATAGAACAGCATAGAGATTGCCTTAAGGAAGAAGCTACTGCTGCTGCCATTCTGCATTGGGAAGCTCATCAAACACATCATGGGTATTATAGGTGAGTCAGGGGGCTGGATAGTAGAAACCCTGACACTACTATTCCCCCTAAAGCTTGATATCTCCAATGCCTAAAGAAAGAATGAATTTTGTGTACCTCTGCTTTTTCATTTCTGAATCATAGACTTGCATATATCTGCTAATTAGAAAGGTAAGTTTTGGTTTCTACATTGATAGGTGTGAATCATAATAGGATAAAATTCTCAAGCCAAAAAAGGAATTCAAAAGATGCTTAATGATTACTATATAATAATTTCTTTTCTACATCAATTTCTATGTAATTCTGTGAATTTACTTTTATTTCTTTCCACATATTGATAGGAAGCATTGCCTTCAGAATAATGAATGAATACTTTTCACCCTTCGCAGGACTTGCTACATTGGTCTTTGCTAGCTTCAATGCCTGGAATGCAAACTTCGGGTCCCTTGTTAGTAGAAAGATGCACAGATGCGGCTCTGTTGACTCAGTTGTTTAAATACATATTGTCAAACAAAATATTTGCAGCACTGATGCCAAGTTCCTCCTGACATTCACAATAATATTGAATTTGACTCAACCAAACAAGTGTGACAATATGTGGAATAAAATTTCATCTAGGTTTTATCTGGTTTCAAACTCTCTTAGATTTAACACTCTTTTGTGGTTTTCAATTTGAAACAGAATTTGGCTAAGTTTTGGTGATTGAAGCTGTAGAGCCATTAAATTAAAAAGGTATGCTACTACTATTTAAAGCGTCGTTTAGCTTAATGCTAAATTGTCCTCAAAATTGTTCCAGTTTAAGCCTGCAAAAAGCTTTACAATATGATCATTTTCTGGAGATCATTTTTCTTGAAGGTTGAAACTAAATTACTATGAAAATATTTTCAGTATTATTTAAATAAAAACTTTAGAACCTCATGGAATGTGTGCAAGTAATTCCTGTATCTTTTCATTACAATAACAACACTTTAACAGAAGTAGAATTTTTTTTAACGAAGTGACTTTTCTTTTTTCTTTTTCTTTTTTATTTTTCTTTCTTTCTTTTTTTTTTTTTTTTTGAGATAGGGTCTTACTCTGTTGCCCAGGCTGGAGTGCAGTGACGCCATCTTGGTTCACTGGAACTTCTGCCTGTTAGACTCAAGCAATCCTCACACCTCAGTCTCCTGAGTAGCTGGGACTACAGGCATCTGCCACTATGCCCGGCTAATTTTTTGTATTTCTGTTAGAGATGGGGTTTCACCGTGTTGCCCGGGCTGGTCTCAAACTCCTGGGCTCAAGCAATCCACCTGCCTCAGCCTCCCAATGTGCTGGGATTACAGGAGTGAGTCACGACGCACAGCCAACAAAGTGATTTTTATCTGAAAGTAATTGCTTTAGGTAAGCACACACAAAAACATACTTAGAAAAAATAATGAGATGCTAATAAAACCTATTTTCCCCTACTTGTATATATTTTCGTTACAGCATTTAAAGAAGAATGTATCACAATCTGTTGTACACAGATATCACTCCAATTTGGACTCTGAATGCTTTGATTATGCCTGTCTTTATATTTGTGCTTTCTAGTACCTAGTAATATATCTCATAATTAGTGGGGGTTTTACAAATATGAAAAGAAGAAAGTCATGGAAGAAAATGGAATGGAAGAGGAGCATAAAGGAGAAATGCAAGGAAGCAACCCAGGAACAAATACATGTTTTAATATTTTCTCCCATTCACCATATAGAGAGTTAAGTACACTAACTGTGTCATGGCAAACACTAATACCACTATGTTATTATGGTATTGTAAATTAACAACTGTTTTTTTCAAAAGGTGTAAACCTGTGACACGTATTTCCATATTTATACATTCGAAGTGAACCTAAGACTTGATATATAAATGCACTTTGATTTTGGGGGCCCAGGGGGTACTGGGCAGCCTGTAATCATTGGCTTAATTATAGCCTAAAGAAAGTGATTAGAGTGATAAGAAAGTAGAAAACATATGGAGAAGCAGGGCATTTAAATAGAGATAAGAAATAAAAGTGGAACATGATCATGGTTCTCTGTGTGACATGGAGGGAATAAAATTAAAAATACATCAGCTCAAAAAGTAACTATGTCACCATCTTGTTCTATGAACTTGGGTATATTACTTAATTTTCTAAATGGCTTTTTCTTCTTATATAAAATGTTGTTACTAACACAATCTTCAAAGTGTTCTGAGAGCTAAGTTAAAAAGCAAGTAAACAACTGCTGATTAACATTTTATGTAAGAACTGACAATTTTAAGATATTTTTCTTTATACACCTGACCTTATCTCAATCAATTTAGACTTAATGATCTCTATGATTTTGGGGTAGAATGCCGGAGAACAAAAAGAAAAAAAATGTTTAAACTTTAAACAGATACATCCTTAGGAACACTAAAGAAAAATAATAGGCTTCACCCCTAGATTATTTAATTAATATTCATTTATTACCACCTACTACGCTCCAGATTTTATTCCCATTATTTAGAATATATCAACTGAACAAAGTAGCACAGATATCTGTCCTATCTGTTTCTATCTTTTAATATAGAAGTAAGGGATGAAAGTCACAAGTTACCATAGTAGAGAAGTAAATTATATATTTTTAAAAATGGAGATAGGAGCAGGCTAAAGGAGATTTAACATGGTGTGTGGGGGAAGGAAATGTGTAGTATTAAGTAGGGCAGGCGGGATTAGACCTAATTGGGAAGATGCAATTTAAACCAAGAGTTAAAGAAAGTGATGGAGTTAGCCAAGTGAATACCTAGGGGAAGAGTGGGTCAGTCAGAGAAAATAGCTAGAGAAAATGCATTAAGATGAAAGTATTCTTAGTATACTGTGGTTACAGGAAGGAAGCTAGTATAGTTGGAGATGAGTAAGCAATGGATGAGAAGTAGATGATGAATTCAGAGGTAATGGGCAAACTGTAGAAGAATCTTATAGGCCATTTCAATGACTTCAGCATTTGCGGAATGAGGAGCCATTGTAAGATATTCTACAGGGGAGTGAATTATCCACTTACTCTGGTTGAATAATTAAGAGCAGACTATAAGGGGCCAAGCATGGGGGCACGGGAAACTATTAAAAGGCAATTTGCACTGATCCAAGGGAGAACCAGCATGGCAGTGATTGAGAAATGAGAACTGATTGTATTTGGTACGTATTTTGAATGTTGAGCAAATATTTTCTGATATATTTGACACAGAATATAAAATAAACAGAAATGACTTCAAAATGTTTACTGTTTATTCCAAACAAGTAGAAAGATGAAATTGATACCAACCGATTGGAGAAAGGTTATTGATAGAGCAGGTTTCAGGATAAAGAGCAAAAATTACCTCTTGGCTATGTTGAGTTTGAGGTGTACATTAGATATCCAAGTGGAAACGTCAAGAATGGTGAAATACAGGATATAGGATTGTTGCTGGAGAAAAAACTGGGGACTTCACAATATGTAGGTCGTATTTAAAGCCATGAACCTTGATTACATCACCAAAGATACAATCCCATGTCTGACATTAACTTGTTGGAGAGGAATATGACAGATTATATATGATTTCAAGGTATAGGATCTAATGCCCAAATAAAGGGATGGGATTTAGATAGAATTATAGGTAACTAGACACAAAGAAAGTGCTTGTAGTTATTTGGGCAGATAGGTACATAGAAATTATAATAGGAGTCTCTGGCATTTCTTTTAATTCTCCTAGTAAAATGCAAAGCTGAGGATAAAAAAAGTGAAAGAACATAGGGACTGACTGGCTAGAGAAGAAAAGGAGTGAAATAGTGATTCTTCATAGTGGGAGAGAGAATTAGCAAAGTATTGCTTAAGAGCCAGGAAGCATTAAGAACCAATACACACACACACATGTGGTTTTGTATTTTTCCTCTGGCCTTGTGGAACTGACCAAAAAAAAAAAAACAGAGTAGACAGAATTTAGGATTTAGCCAAGTTGTAAAACCCATGGGGCAAAAGACTCTTGGTGTGGGCTTAAGCAAGAGAGGATCTGTAATGATTGACAATGGAATTTACAGTGGGTAAAAAGCAGAAGAGGACATCAAGGGCCAACAGTCAGTGAGTGGAAGAAATTCCACCTACACATCACCTATATCTATATCTATTTTTCTTTTTTTAATATGTTTCATTTTATATCTTTTTTTCTTTTTATATCTCTATTTCTATTTCTATATCATCTATGTCTACTCCATGGGATTAGAGAATATGAAGGGACAAAAAGAAAGTAGGGCACCCTATATTAGGTCAATTGCACACCCTGCTTTTTTTCCAGTAGTTGAGCCAAATGATTGCGAGAGGCAGGGCACAGCAGGGGCAGAGAATGAGAATTCTCCCTTATAGATTTGAGGCATTCAAGAAAGAACAAATGTTCCCTCTCCTACAGATAGGTGAAAAACTATCATGTTTTACAGTAAGAAAAACTCAACACATCTAGGCGTACAGGTCTTAGGCAGCTCACCATGTTTTCTCTTAGTCATGGTGGAAGAAGAGTAGCAAAGTGAATTTCAGGGCACCTGAGAGAAGCTTTATAATTGCCATGAAAGTCACTGGCATTGAAGCAGCCTTAAAAAAATGAATTGACAATTGACACAGAAGAGTAGGGTCTGATGAGCAATCTCTGTATTGACAAAACACCAGGTTTTGTTACCCATTGCTCTAAATATCCAGTTTTGTGAAATTATGTAAACTTTCATGAACTAAGATGTAGTGCAAGGGAAGATGAACTGCCAATTAAAAAATCAGCATTTGGAATAGAATTAACGTTTATAGAAAACACCTAAAAATTCTCAAATAACTTGTAGAATGAAACTCATATTCATCACTAATAATGTAAATCACCAGTGTTACTACATCATAGATGTTCAATAATAATCAGTTTTTATAAACTTTATAATAGTTCAGAAGAGAATATGGTAATGATAACTAAACCTAATATTGTAAAGTTTTGTAAAAATGCTAAGTAATTCAAACATGTTTCTTCCTATTTGACCCTCTCATTAATGTTATATGTAATAAGAGATGCTGTCAATTTTCTCATTTTACATACCAAAAAGTAACCACACAATACACAATCTTTCTTCCCATTCCACCAAAAACAACTAATTTGTAAAAGGCAGTTAAAGGAAATAGAATTTTTACCCTTTCACTTAAATTAAAAAAAAAAAAGAAAAAGAATTTTCAAACAACCAAAATGTCTCCCCGTCCAAAGGAAAAAATATTTCTGATGAAACTAAATCTACTTCACAGTAATATTTCAAGTAGAAATAGCTAGGCTTTCTAACAGAAATGTTGTAGCAAAGATTTTCATGTTAGTTGATGTATTAGTCAGAATTCTCCAGAGAAACAGAACCAACAGAAGAGATTTGAGACAGAGAGAAATATTTATTTTTAAAAATTGTCTCATGCAGTTGTGAAGTTAGCAGTTTGAAGATTCAGGTAATAATTGATGTTGCAGTCTTTATTCAAAGGGCTTGAAACTCAGGTATAAACTCTATGTTGCAGCTTGGAAGCAGTTTTGTTTTCGTTTGATTTGGTTTCTGGAAACCACAGTCTTTTCTCAAGCATTTCCTCTAATTTAATTGAGGCCCACCCACATCATGAAGGGTAATGTGCTTTATTCGATGTCTACTAATTTTAATTTTAATCACTTCTGAAGCAAAATACCTTCACCTCAACATCTAGATTGGTATTGTCCAAACCCTTATCTAGCTAAGTTGACACATAAAATTAGCCATCTCATTTGGAACACTGAAATAAATGACATTTAAGATCACTTCTAATTTTATGATTCTACATCCTACTTATTGGAGAAAAAAAAATACCTGGCGGTTATGTTTGGAAAGACTGTTTAATTGACCCCCGAAAATGTAGGCTTACAAAATGCCATTAACCTTATTGAACATACTGAGGCACAAAACTAAGTAAAAATAAGTCTGGAAGTCAGAAATTATTATCATCTTTAACCCTTTTTTCTAATTCAAATGTTCCATCTAACCAATGGCTTTTCACTGCTTTCTTCCTTGTGGCTTTTAAATCAGCCCAGTTCTCTCTAATCCCTCTACCTATAAGTAGCTCAAGAACTACTATCATCTTTCAAGGATAATTGCAGCAGCATTTGAATTGCTCTCTCTGCCTTCAATCTATTGCAATATTCCTATCAATGTTTTCTCAACACTAAAGCAGGAAGATATTTTAAAATTAAAATTTGATCATGTCTCTTCATTACAAAAATTCAATGAAATTCCATCACTCTAAGAGTACCAAATTTCAGCACTTTCATGATCTAAGTCGTCCTTATGAACACTCTGGCTTTATATTTTATTTTGTTAGCATTCAAACTTAATATTTTATATGCATAGATTTATGGGCTTCTCTATAAGATGTGCTTTCTCTTCCTTCTAGGCTACTGTTTAGGGTATTTCTTCTATTTGAACTAGGCCCCTGTCACTCCCTGCAGGCCCATTGTGACTTTGCCTAAAAAATTCTGATTAAGTAACCCAAGAAGGGGCTGAAAGCTTAGGTCCATCTTGATTTAGTAGTTTATATGATTTCTGTGACTGTTCTTTACTAACCTGACTTATTTTTTATTCAGAGACAGAAAAATAATGTTTGATTTGCCAAAAAAACTGCTAGGTTTAGAGGAAAAAGATCCACTAATATCAACAATATTAATCAAATGTAAGTTATCTGTGATGGGTTTTCATTAAAGATACTTCCCCCTTCTGTTTTGAAAGATATGTATCCTCTTATGAAAGAAAAATGGACTCAAACCCAATTCCCAATTAGGAAATTATTGGTAAAATATACTGAAGTTATCTTGGCCTATTCTATGGCATTTAAAGTGAAAATTATTAGAAAGAAAACACTCAAAATAAAATATTCTTTTTGTGTGGGGAAAAGTGATTTCAATGACAATATTTTCAGTACGTGTGAATTTAATGAAAGCATGTTCATTAATTTTGATTGCTATTACTTAAATTGTCTAACATCATTTTCCTGTAGCAGAATCAAATGGGTAATTTCAAACTAAAAATGGCATACAACACTGATCTGAGACTAGAAATATTGTTCAATCGATTTCTTCCTAGGCTTTCAAAATCAGTGAACTCTACCATCTTAACACTATTATTTCTAAATCAGATAAGAAGAATGGATTTTTCTTATAATGTATGAACCAAATGAAGAACTAAAAATTTAGTCATAGATTTTTGTCAATACAAATAAATACATGAGTAAATGGGCAACGCTTCCAAATGAGTCCATTGCCTATAGCAGTTTCAGCCAAATTGTTCCATTGTAAGAACACAATTGTAAATGTTTTGTGATCACTTTATATTATTTAGTAAAATATATTTGAGAGATTTATCTTTGCATACCCCTGATCTTAGAACATATATCTGCAATTTGCAGATATTTTATCTTAAATACATTTTTATATTTTCCCTTCTTTCTTTGCTTAATATTTTAGGAACAACCTTATCCAAGCCCCTTTGCCCTCTAGCAGTGGGAGGAACTGTAAGAACAGAGGTCAAGTGTAGAGAAGAAGCAAGATTATTTCTGTGCTCCCAGAATTTGTTTCCAGTGGCCTCACTGGTATCAGCTGTTTCTTCCTTGTGATTCTAGCTCCTGCAAAATAGCCCTTTTCTCTGTGGTCTTAGATCCTGCTGAGGTTTGCCTCTGCTATAGAGAAGCTTCAGGGCTCACATAATATCACTTCTTTCATGTGTCCCTCCAGTCCTAGGAGTGGTAGTGCTTCCTGCTGTTTCTAATCTCTTACTTACTTCCTCATACATTGAGTTCCTCTGGTCTTCAGTCACCCATGTAACCAGTTCCCTGTGTTAAATTTTCTCTGATTGAGACACCTAGTGGGTTTCAAGTTTCTCTGCATACAAATAGGTTGTTGTTTCTTTTTTAGGCATAAAAAAAGATTGGAGAAATTCTAACGTGATTCTGCCATGAGAACAAATCCCTTTGATAAAGCAGTACTTCCAGCTCAACCCTCCAATAGGGTCCCAAGTTCATGGGAATTAAAAATGTTTATGCTTCGTATTACATATTAAGAAACCTACAAAGAAAATCTCATTACAATGCTCCTGAATTACATGACTATTTTCTTCTCTGTGTGTTTAAAACTTAATATTTCAACATCAACTAATGTCCTTAACTAATATACTTCTAGGGCCTTTTGTGTCTTCCGTAAGCACCAATATATGCATGTAGAAGCTAAAGATATATGAGACACAGTTTCTGCCCTAAAAAAATGTAGTGGGAGAAAAACACACATGAACAGAAAATGAAAAAAACAGCAACAACAACAACAAAAGACAGGATAATGAACAGAATGGAGATTTTCAGATGTGATATAGGAACATGTAATACATAAAACACAGCTAGAAAAGGCTTATAAAGGCCTCATAAAAGAGTTAAGTATCACTTAAGAATATATAATGCTATAATCAATATATATAACCTAAATATCTGTACTTGTGAATTACCTAGAATATACTTTTAATATATTTGTATATTTCCATGGAACCCTACAATAATTCATTTATCTGTTTACCTTAGTCACATCCAGAGACTCACACTGGACTCACACTGGTTAACTATCCTGTACATTCAATTCAATAATTTCATACAAATTCCCTATAACAAATTTGTCCATATACTCAATATTTTTTGTCTTCCCTCCATCTTTACCTCTTATTATAACTTGACTGTGGCTTTTTCTCACAACCCATTTCCCTGAAGACATTGTATATGAAGGTTATACTTTTGTCCCTGACACTCTTGTAGTTCAGTGGCTTGGGTTTGGATACGTTCTTTTCTTTTGCCTTCTTGTGGTTTCTGAATTTCTTTTCTTGTTATTTTTCTACTATCTCTTTTATCTTCATTTCTCTTCTAGATAATTTATGTTATTGTAGACATATACTTTAGTATTTTTAACTTTAGAAATTCCTTCCTCAACTCTGTATTTTCCTAAGTTTACCATTCTATATCTCTGATTTGCTTCATAGCAAAATGGGTTGAAAAAGTTATCCACATTTGGTTGTACCTGCTTCTTACTTCACAAATCCTTAAACAAATTTTCCCTCAGTTTTGTTCCTACAACTGCATTGAGGCTCTTCTTTTACATCCTCCTTGATTTCTACCTTTCAAAATTCAATAATGAGTTCCTTTTCAAATTTTTGAACCCTCAGATATATTTGGAAAAATTGATAATTTTATTTTATTTTGTCTTCAATTACCTTACACTACCTTGATTTTTATACCTCACCAATTGTTCTTTCTCTATGTTAGCTCTTTCTTCGTTCCTGATCTATAAAATGAGGTCCATTTGAGGCTTGATTTTATTATTGTATCTATATGATTTCCAGGGAGCATTCATTCAGGCTCTTGGATTTAAAAACAACTCTGATCTATAATAAATTTCAACCTATAAGTCTATGCTTATAATCTATAATTTTATTCTGGATCTTCCATATAGACTTTTCTATAAATTTTCAGCTTGCACATTGAACTGCCCACTTGATATCTGATCTTAGAAGTTTAACAGACACCTCCAACTTAACGTGAGCCCAAAAGCCTTGTTGTGACATTTTCAAAACATGCTCCTCTTTTAGTCTGAGAATATTGCCCCTTTAGAAAACTCTGTCATAATTCATATAGTTTATCCAGTCACAAATGCATGTATTGTTTTGGAGAACCCTTTCTCTTACCCTTATAAATCCATGAGCACTTCATTTTGTCTTTAACTCCACAAAATATCTGGAGTTTATCCAACAAATTCTATCACCTAATTCTATCATGGGAACCTCGCTCCTCGTGACTTCTTCTAATCCTAATTACCTCCCTAACATCCTATATCCAAATACCCTCACATTGAGAATTAGGGCTTCAATATTTCAATTTCTGGAGGACAAAAATATATTCAGTCCATATCAACATATTAAACATAAAAATAAATGTACCCATATTTTTCGTCTTTTCCTTTACATTGTAAGTTACATGAGAGCAAACAACATACTTGTCCAATATACATATTTATTTGGTGCCAAATAAATGTCTGCTGAAAAAATGAATAATTTAATGAGAAATTAAAGGAATGTTTGAGTAGAGAATTATAGATTAAAGCTACAGATGAAGGTCGATGTTATTATAATAGACATATGATGTTGCCAAGACAATATATTTAAGAGGAGAAAAATATAGTGAAAAACTTTGCAGTGGTACAAATTGAGAACAAACAATTTGAAGATTTAATTATAAGAATGATGAGTGTGTTCTGGTTACAAAAAGTCACAGGGTTTCTTATCGTTGTTATTTTATTTTACTTTTGTCCTGTTGAGGCAATAATTAAGAACATATAATCACTTATTGAATAGCGCAGGAAAACAGCCTGCCTGCTGCATGGCACGAGTGACTACGCCACCATCTTGAGGAAAACCATCACAATGCCCAATGTTTGACTCCTGCGTATCACGGTGTTCTGAAGCAAGGTCTTTTTCCCCGGAAGTAACAAGTCACAGCATGGAAGTCTGAGATGTAACTAGCTGCACTTGTCTTTACCCTAAATGCTTGCTATCTAAAGGACATTCTCTAGAGGAGATTGCGAAATCCACCGTATCACAACCACCCAAGATATCATTTCTGTTCATAAGTCCCTATTAAATATGTATTTCTGAGAAACTGGCTTTTTTTCAGCATCTTTCTTCAGCATCTCAGCTCCCTCAGCCTTTGGGGGTAGATTTGAATATACCCATCATTTTTATGGTCTTAGCATGGTCTCAATGTACTTCAACTGGCCTTTTATAAATTAGGGAATGATGCTTAGTACCAATCTTCTCTATGTGAGATGCAAAGAGAGAGTAGAATAGAAGATAAAAGTTCAAATGGGGTCAGTTAACCTCTGAAGCCAGGCTCAGATTTCAGGCTTTCTAAAATGTTTTTCAAGATAAAAAATAAATACGCTCTGTTTTCAACTCAGGTTGGGAATGCAACTTTTGCATTTATCCCCTGATATTGTCTATTAGTTGCTTTTGCAACCTAAGACCTAGAATAAAAATATGCCCTAAGGGCCTCTAAGCTTTTCTAAGTATCTACTCATCTCTGCAATGATACCTGCTGCAGCTGCTAACTGCTTCAGCAAGAAAAAAAACACATACACACCATATGAAATTACATCTCTTCTTCAAAAGTAAGTCTTATATTTTAGCTATTCACATTTCACAAACATCTTCTGATAAGATACTGAGTGAGCAGTTAGAAGAAATGACATTCACAAACATACTGCTAAAAATAGTTATTGCTTCTAATAATCAATGAGATTTTATTGCATTTGCAGAAGGCCTGGGGTAGGAGGGCATATTGGTCAGGGTGATGTTTTACCATTTATGACAGAAAAGTAACATTATTTAACCTTTCTAATATTCTACTACTAATGTATTCTACTTATAAAGATAAAACAGGCTGCATTTTTACTTCTGAATGAAAAAAATGAGTTTGACTCTAAAATGATTTCTACACCAATAATGAAATGTTTTTGTTAATTAACATTGGGTGATGTATTACTACTGATACACGAATTAGTCATCAAAATAAATGCTTCTAAATAAGTAGTTACGTAACCAAAAATGGAGAAACAAGAATAATAAGATACACAACGAGTTCACAATAGAGATGAGTCTTCCTTCCATGTGAACCACTTGTCACTGATGTCAGCATAGTTTGGGATGTAGATTAAGAATGAGATTCTTTATCTTGAAATTATGAATTTCTGATAAATCTATGGGTAGCCAAAATATGTATTTTTTAATAAGCATTCCAGATTATTTGTGTATTTGAGTATTACCATTGTCCCAGAGCATAAGACTCCAGAAAGGTACAAAAAATAAAACACAGTGTGGCAGATACTGTGTTGCTCTGCTCACATATCCTCTGGAAGGTAGACACATGTACCTCCTAGTCAAAGTAGATATCAACTGCTGTTCAATTATAACTTCATCCATTTAGAATTGCCCTCATCCTCAGGATGAGGATCTGCTTAAAACAATGTTATTACTCCTCCCAGGGTCGGCCTTCATTAATGTCTAGATGGGGAATGCAAAGAATCATCCCCCAGTGCGCCTCCATTGCAACTGCATTGTTAAGTAGCTTCTGGCCAATGTTTTCTTCCCTAAGTGCTTTCTTTTTTTCTTCTTCTTCTTCCTTTTTTTTTTTTTAGAGGGAGTCTCACCCTGTTGCCCAGGCTGGAGTGCAGTGGCTTGATCTCAGCTCACCACAACCTCTGCCTCCCAGGTTCAAGCGATTCTCCTGCCTCAGCCTCTCGAGCAGCTGGGACTACAGGCGTGCACCACCATGCCCGGCTAATTTTGTATTTGTGGTAGAGACGGAGTTTCACTATGTTGGCCATGATGGTCTCGAACTCCAGAACTCATGATCTGCCCACCGTGGCCTCCTAAAGTGCTGGGATTACAGGCGTGAACCACTGCGCTGCGCCTCTTCCCTAATTTCTTACAGCTATGTCTCCTACATTCCTCTTCTGTACTTTGTGAAAGTCTTCATTTCAGATTCTGTTTCCAGAAAATTGATCAATCAAATAAATACAACATCAACAACAGTACTCACTTAACTCCATACTCTCTTCTATATAAAATGATAAAAAGATAAAATATGAACCTGTGAAAGTTTTAAATATATTTACAAGTAGCATCCCATATGTTGAAAAATTTAGGTCCAAGGATATTAAGCTTTATAGCTTATTTATTTTTTCTCTCTCTGTAATTGTGATCCCAGTGTTTTTCCATTTTTTTCTTCCTTCCTTATTCCTTTCTTCTTTTATTGCCTCTTTCCACCCTTGTTCTGTTTTTCTTTTCTTCAGTTCTTTACTGCATTGTTTTCTTCCTTTCTTTTGTTAAGTTATTGATTTGGAAAGTAGAAAGAACACTTATCAAAAGAAAAAAGAACCTTACTTTAGGATAATAGCTTGAAACCAGGGGCCAGAGGTTGCAGTGAGCCGAGATCGCTCCACTGCACTCCAGCCTGGGTGACAGAGCGAGACTCCATCTCAAAATAAATAAATAAATTAATTATATTTTTTAAAAGAATCCTACCTTAAATGAACTTACATTCTATTATGGAGAAACAGATAATAACCACACAAACAAGTAACGTAGGTAATCTTTTAAATTCTGATAAGTTCTCTGGGGAAAAAATAAAGCAAATAAAAGGGATAAAATTACAAGGTTGGGTCATTACTATTTTAAGTAGAATGGACAAAGCAAGATACCTTGTTGAAAAAAAAAATTTTTGAACGGAAACATGAAGGAGGCAAAAGTGAGAGACATGCAGTTATCTGAGGGAAGAACATTCCAGGTAGAGAAAACTGAAACGCAAGTGCCATTTGCAGTGGCAGTGTGTGTGTTGGGCGGGGAGGTTGGGGAGGGCGTGTTTTGGGTGTATTTGAGGAATATCAAGAATATTGGTTTTATCAGTGCAAACCTATAGAAGAGTGATTTTAAATGAGTTTAAAGAAATGGGCAAGAAATAGAGTTCACATTTTAAAAAGTTTTAAGCCATTGTAAGGCCTTTAAATTTTCCTCCGAGTGAAACAAGATACTACTGGAATATTTTGTACAGAGGTGTAATATGATCTAACTCATGTTTTAAAAGTATCATTTTGACTCATATAGTAAGCATAGAATGTTCTGGGTTATTTTTTAAAGATACAACTATGAATTCAAAGTTATAGTTGTCTTTATCTTCCTGAATATCAAGTATATGGTCAAAATTCACTTCTGAAAAGTAGATTTTGAATCTTAGATTTCAGAACCCTAAATGAATTTAAATGTATCTTGGAATTTGGGGTTGCTGTTTCACACAGGACGAAGAAAGTCAAAAGAGATAATAACATTCATCCTTACAACCAAAGCAAGACAAGTAAGCTAATGAGTCATAGTTTTCCTGAACCCATGTGCAAACTGAGTTTACAGTTTCCTCACTAAACTCTAGAATAGAATGGACTCTCCATAAAAAATAAGAGATTCATGGCTGTTTTCATGCCCAGCAGGACAGCAAGAGAAGAAATAATCTAACGTAGACCCAAAAGTGGAGTTAAATAACTAAACAACCAATATTTCAACAATTTCTTTCTTTCTTCCTTTCTTCTTCTCTTTCTTTTTTCTTTTCTTCTTTTCCTTCATTTTCTTTCCTTTCCCCTCCTTTTCTTTTTTCTTTTTACACAGTATTTCACTCTGTTGCCCAGGCTGGAGTGTAGTGGTGTGCACTCATGACTCACTGTAGCCTCAACCTTCCAGGCTCAAGCCATCCTTCCACCTCAGCCCCCTCCACCTCCCGGCTTCTCCAGTAGCTGGTACTACAGGCATGTGCCATCAGGCCTGGTTAACTAATTTTTTTTTTTTTTTTTTTTTTAAAGAGAGATAGGGTCCCACTATGTTGCCGAGGCTGGTTTCCAACTCGTGGTCTCAAGTGATCCTCCCGCCTCAGCTGCCCAAAGTGCTGGGATTACCATTTCAAAAATTTTTAAGTGTGTTTGTGATTGTGACATACTAGATGTTAGAAGAGCCCTGATCAAGTAGTTCACTTTTACCCATCCACCGTCTTCTATTGACATTCCTTTAGTCCGGCATTCCAGAGATTGAGGTAGGAAAAGTGATGTCTGGGACATAAGAGGTCTCAATTTACTGGCTTACCTGGTACTGAAAATGAGGTGAAAAAACAAGAAAGCTGAGAGAAATCAACATGTTCCCAAGTGCTGTATGTGAACAATAAATCTGAGACATACCTCTAAGGCTTTTCCAGAGACAAGAAAGCTCTCAACCTGTAAAGAATTCCTGGGACATGACTGAGAGCAATGAGAACTCCCAGTGGTCCAGAAGGTTAGCAGATATAGTGTAGAGCATACACAGATATACTATAGTTCATAACACTGGTGGCTTAGCTGTAAATCACAAAATAGCACTGGAATTATACTAGTGATCATAGCACATAGTCCAAGAAGAAAAAATTTTGATCTTGTTCTTAAACTTTGTGGAGCCAGTGGTGAAATGAGTCACACAAAGATGCAACAATGATTGAACCCAGCCCTCTTTAGACTAACATATTCTTGCCCATCACCACCAATATTACAATAAAAATCAAGACACATGAAGGAGCATACCTTTTTCTGAAAGTAAATATTGCTTACCTCAGTCTCTATTGTTATTTGATGCAAAACACCCAGCATGCAATTTGAATCAATAAGACATGGAAAGGAGCAAAAAAATGTAACTCATGCTAAAGAAAAAAAAAAGAGTGAGAAAGAGACAACAAAAGCAGATCCAGAAATGGTTAAACTTGTGGCATTATAAGGGAGGAGCTTTAAAATAACAATTATATAAATATAGAAACATCTAGTGGAAATGGTGATCAGTATTTATCAAGTTATGGGAATTTGCAGCAGAGACGTAAAAATGCTATTATTTTACAATTCCATATTTTAATATAAAAAGAGTATGTTAAAAATAAAATTGGTAAAAACAAAATGTATCAAAAATTAAGATTTATGTAGATAGTCTTAACAGTAGAATAAATTTTGCAGTAGAAAAAATCAATAGACTTAGAAAAATCAATAGAAGTAATCAAATTAAAATATAAAACAAATAGAAAAAAAGATGAGTGAAATAAAAGAATACACAGAGAATCCAATATTAGTGAGAAAATGTTAAGCAGTATAAAATGCCTGTGACCAGAGATAAAAAAAGAAAGAGCTATAGAAAAGATTAACTAAATCACTGAAATTTTTCTAAAAATTAAAAAAATACATCAATCTGAATCCAAGAAGCTCAGGAGCCCTCAAAAAGGATAGGTATGTAAAACAACATATAGAGTTACATCATTTCAAACTGAAAACTAAAGATAAATTCATAACATTATTCATAAGGAAAAGATATCTTACATATGGTAAATGAAAATATTGAGGCACAGTTGACCTCACCAGAAAAATTAATGATGAATGACATTAAGATGATTTTTTGACTATTAAAAAATAAGAAATATCAATTTAGAATTATATATATGTAATGGTGTAATCCTTTAAAATGGAGGCAAAATATAGATATTTCAAAAGAAAATAAATAGCAAGATGACATACCTAAAGCTACTTTTATCAGTAATCACATTAAATACAAATGGTCTAAAGGAATCAATTGAAAGACATAGATTGCCATATTTGATGGAGTCCTATGTTTCTTACAAGGAACATAATTTAAATATAAAGACATAAATTAGCTAAAAGGAAACATGATACTAACACTTGTCTATCTGACAAAGTAGCTTTTTTTCTTTCTTTTTTTTGCTGACTCACATGTCAGGTGATGACAGTAGATTTCTAGCAAAGTGTATTACCAGAAAATAAGAATCTTATTTTATGATGACAAAGGAGTTAGTTTATCAAAAGGACATGTAATTCTGAAATTTAGTGTATCTAATATCAGAGATGCAAAATAGATGAAGCAACAATAGAATTGCAAGGAAAACTGACAAATCCCCAAGTATTGTTAAAATTTTTAATACCCTTCTTTCATTTATTTGTAGAACAAGTAAACAAAATCAATAAGAATCAGGATTTTAACATCATCAATCAACTAGACCCATTGACATTTATGTAACACTTTACTCAGTAACAGCAGAATTCATATTTTCAAGTGCACAAAAAGCATTTATCAAGATAGACAACACTTTGAGTAGTAAAACAAGTCTCAATAAATTGAAAAGTATTCAAGTCATACAAAGCATGTTATCTGACACCCATGTAATTAAACTAGAAATGAATAACTCAACAATATTTATAAAATACACAGATCTTTGGAAACTAACACAATTCTAAATAATCCTTACCAAAGGGTATACCAAAAAGGAATTTACAATGTAAATATGAGATAAAAGAAAACAAAAACACCTATCAATATTTGTGGGACAACACTAAAGCTGCAAATAAGAGAGACTTTTTAAGACTTGTCTTTATCCATTTGTGCTGCAATAACAAAATATCATAAAATGTGTTATTTATAAACAACAGAATTTTTTCACAGTTCTGGAAGCTGAGAATTCCAGAACTATGAAAAATCTCAAAGAGTCAGTTGATCTAATATATGGAGAGGACCGCTTTCTGTTTCCAAGATAGCTCCTTGTTGTTATGTCTTTGAAAGGAGGTGAATACTGTGTCCTCATGTGGTAGACAGTATGGAAGGGCAACAAAGGAGGTCTGGATAGCTCTCCCAGGCATTTTTTTAATAATGCACTGATTCCACATATGAGACCAGAACTCTCATGGCCTAATCACGTCTTAAAGTTCCCATTACTTACTACTGTTGCACTAGGGATTAAATTTCAACATAAATTTTGAAGGGGACACAACAATTGAAACCATAGCAGCATTGAATATCTATATTAGAAGATGAGAACGGTATCATATTAATAATCTCAGCTTCCATCTTAAGAAAGCAGACAATCAGATTATTCTGAAAATAAGTCAAAGAAAAGAAATAATAAATTTCAGAGTAAAAATCAATAAACTTACAGATCAGACATGATAGCATAGATACAATGCTCAATTCTCCTCTCCACTAAGTAACATTATAAATACTGCAAATAAAGAAAGAGGCAAACAAAGTTGAATCCAAAAAGTACTAGGAATAAAGTAAACTGGGTTGACACTCCATGAACGGAAGAAGAATGTAGCACCACACAATCTTATATCTTCCCACTAAGTAGAAGTAGGGGATCTTGACCGGATCTTTCCCAACCACCAACCTATCAACAGAAAGCAGTTCAAGTAAGCTTATTTCTCTCCTACCCATAAACAGTGCTGTAGCAAGGAGTGCCTGAGAGAGTTCTTCCACATAGTAAGTGCCTGACCCAGGAAGTGTTCTTCATCACCCAAAGGCAGGGAAAGGATCCTACAACAAACAGCCTGGTTCTGGAAATCTCTTTGCCTCTACAAGCCAAATAAACCCCTCCTACAGCAAAGACTAGAATGTAGAAGTACCAGTAGTAGGTGATTCTGCAACAATAAGCACCCATGAGGAAATGTTCTTGGTTCTCTATAGGCAAAGGTGATTCTACCACAACAAACACTAAGCTAGAGAATCCTCTTTATCCCCATAGGCCTGCAACTCCCCTCACCTACTGCACTCCAGCCTGGGTGACAGAGCGAGACTCCATCTCAAAATAAATAAATAAATTAATTATATTTTTTAAAAGAATCCTACCTTAAATGAACTTACATTCTATTATGGAGAAACAGATAATAACCACACAAACAAGTAACGTAGGTAATCTTTTAAATTCTGATAAGTTCTCTGGGGAAAAAATAAAGCAAATAAAAGGGATAAAATTACAAGGTTGGGTCATTACTATTTTAAGTAGAATGGACAAAGCAAGATACCTTGTTGAAAAAAAAAATTTTTGAACGGAAACATGAAGGAGGCAAAAGTGAGAGACATGCAGTTATCTGAGGGAAGAACATTCCAGGTAGAGAAAACTGAAACGCAAGTGCCATTTGCAGTGGCAGTGTGTGTGTTGGGCGGGGAGGTTGGGGAGGGCGTGTTTTGGGTGTATTTGAGGAATATCAAGAATATTGGTTTTATCAGTGCAAACCTATAGAAGAGTGATTTTAAATGAGTTTAAAGAAATGGGCAAGAAATAGAGTTCACATTTTAAAAAGTTTTAAGCCATTGTAAGGCCTTTAAATTTTCCTCCGAGTGAAACAAGATACTACTGGAATATTTTGTACAGAGGTGTAATATGATCTAACTCATGTTTTAAAAGTATCATTTTGACTCATATAGTAAGCATAGAATGTTCTGGGTTATTTTTTAAAGATACAACTATGAATTCAAAGTTATAGTTGTCTTTATCTTCCTGAATATCAAGTATATGGTCAAAATTCACTTCTGAAAAGTAGATTTTGAATCTTAGATTTCAGAACCCTAAATGAATTTAAATGTATCTTGGAATTTGGGGTTGCTGTTTCACACAGGACGAAGAAAGTCAAAAGAGATAATAACATTCATCCTTACAACCAAAGCAAGACAAGTAAGCTAATGAGTCATAGTTTTCCTGAACCCATGTGCAAACTGAGTTTACAGTTTCCTCACTAAACTCTAGAATAGAATGGACTCTCCATAAAAAATAAGAGATTCATGGCTGTTTTCATGCCCAGCAGGACAGCAAGAGAAGAAATAATCTAACGTAGACCCAAAAGTGGAGTTAAATAACTAAACAACCAATATTTCAACAATTTCTTTCTTTCTTCCTTTCTTCTTCTCTTTCTTTTTTCTTTTCTTCTTTTCCTTCATTTTCTTTCCTTTCCCCTCCTTTTCTTTTTTCTTTTTACACAGTATTTCACTCTGTTGCCCAGGCTGGAGTGTAGTGGTGTGCACTCATGACTC
The DNA here is from genome assembly GCF_000001405.40 of Homo sapiens. Taxonomy (NCBI): domain Eukaryota; kingdom Metazoa; phylum Chordata; class Mammalia; order Primates; family Hominidae; genus Homo; species Homo sapiens. Next base: position 170,335 of record NW_003315915.1, read on the forward strand.
ACTGTAGCCTCAACCTTCCAGGCTCAAGCCATCCTTCCACCTCAGCCCCCTCCACCTCCCGGCTTCTCCAGTAGCTGGTACTACAGGCATGTGCCATCAGGCCTGGTTAACTAATTTTTTTTTTTTTTTTTTTTTTAAAGAGAGATAGGGTCCCACTATGTTGCCGAGGCTGGTTTCCAACTCGTGGTCTCAAGTGATCCTCCCGCCTCAGCTGCCCAAAGTGCTGGGATTACCATTTCAAAAATTTTTAAGTGTGTTTGTGATTGTGACATACTAGATGTTAGAAGAGCCCTGATCAAGTAGTTCACTTTTACCCATCCACCGTCTTCTATTGACATTCCTTTAGTCCGGCATTCCAGAGATTGAGGTAGGAAAAGTGATGTCTGGGACATAAGAGGTCTCAATTTACTGGCTTACCTGGTACTGAAAATGAGGTGAAAAAACAAGAAAGCTGAGAGAAATCAACATGTTCCCAAGTGCTGTATGTGAACAATAAATCTGAGACATACCTCTAAGGCTTTTCCAGAGACAAGAAAGCTCTCAACCTGTAAAGAATTCCTGGGACATGACTGAGAGCAATGAGAACTCCCAGTGGTCCAGAAGGTTAGCAGATATAGTGTAGAGCATACACAGATATACTATAGTTCATAACACTGGTGGCTTAGCTGTAAATCACAAAATAGCACTGGAATTATACTAGTGATCATAGCACATAGTCCAAGAAGAAAAAATTTTGATCTTGTTCTTAAACTTTGTGGAGCCAGTGGTGAAATGAGTCACACAAAGATGCAACAATGATTGAACCCAGCCCTCTTTAGACTAACATATTCTTGCCCATCACCACCAATATTACAATAAAAATCAAGACACATGAAGGAGCATACCTTTTTCTGAAAGTAAATATTGCTTACCTCAGTCTCTATTGTTATTTGATGCAAAACACCCAGCATGCAATTTGAATCAATAAGACATGGAAAGGAGCAAAAAAATGTAACTCATGCTAAAGAAAAAAAAAAGAGTGAGAAAGAGACAACAAAAGCAGATCCAGAAATGGTTAAACTTGTGGCATTATAAGGGAGGAGCTTTAAAATAACAATTATATAAATATAGAAACATCTAGTGGAAATGGTGATCAGTATTTATCAAGTTATGGGAATTTGCAGCAGAGACGTAAAAATGCTATTATTTTACAATTCCATATTTTAATATAAAAAGAGTATGTTAAAAATAAAATTGGTAAAAACAAAATGTATCAAAAATTAAGATTTATGTAGATAGTCTTAACAGTAGAATAAATTTTGCAGTAGAAAAAATCAATAGACTTAGAAAAATCAATAGAAGTAATCAAATTAAAATATAAAACAAATAGAAAAAAAGATGAGTGAAATAAAAGAATACACAGAGAATCCAATATTAGTGAGAAAATGTTAAGCAGTATAAAATGCCTGTGACCAGAGATAAAAAAAGAAAGAGCTATAGAAAAGATTAACTAAATCACTGAAATTTTTCTAAAAATTAAAAAAATACATCAATCTGAATCCAAGAAGCTCAGGAGCCCTCAAAAAGGATAGGTATGTAAAACAACATATAGAGTTACATCATTTCAAACTGAAAACTAAAGATAAATTCATAACATTATTCATAAGGAAAAGATATCTTACATATGGTAAATGAAAATATTGAGGCACAGTTGACCTCACCAGAAAAATTAATGATGAATGACATTAAGATGATTTTTTGACTATTAAAAAATAAGAAATATCAATTTAGAATTATATATATGTAATGGTGTAATCCTTTAAAATGGAGGCAAAATATAGATATTTCAAAAGAAAATAAATAGCAAGATGACATACCTAAAGCTACTTTTATCAGTAATCACATTAAATACAAATGGTCTAAAGGAATCAATTGAAAGACATAGATTGCCATATTTGATGGAGTCCTATGTTTCTTACAAGGAACATAATTTAAATATAAAGACATAAATTAGCTAAAAGGAAACATGATACTAACACTTGTCTATCTGACAAAGTAGCTTTTTTTCTTTCTTTTTTTTGCTGACTCACATGTCAGGTGATGACAGTAGATTTCTAGCAAAGTGTATTACCAGAAAATAAGAATCTTATTTTATGATGACAAAGGAGTTAGTTTATCAAAAGGACATGTAATTCTGAAATTTAGTGTATCTAATATCAGAGATGCAAAATAGATGAAGCAACAATAGAATTGCAAGGAAAACTGACAAATCCCCAAGTATTGTTAAAATTTTTAATACCCTTCTTTCATTTATTTGTAGAACAAGTAAACAAAATCAATAAGAATCAGGATTTTAACATCATCAATCAACTAGACCCATTGACATTTATGTAACACTTTACTCAGTAACAGCAGAATTCATATTTTCAAGTGCACAAAAAGCATTTATCAAGATAGACAACACTTTGAGTAGTAAAACAAGTCTCAATAAATTGAAAAGTATTCAAGTCATACAAAGCATGTTATCTGACACCCATGTAATTAAACTAGAAATGAATAACTCAACAATATTTATAAAATACACAGATCTTTGGAAACTAACACAATTCTAAATAATCCTTACCAAAGGGTATACCAAAAAGGAATTTACAATGTAAATATGAGATAAAAGAAAACAAAAACACCTATCAATATTTGTGGGACAACACTAAAGCTGCAAATAAGAGAGACTTTTTAAGACTTGTCTTTATCCATTTGTGCTGCAATAACAAAATATCATAAAATGTGTTATTTATAAACAACAGAATTTTTTCACAGTTCTGGAAGCTGAGAATTCCAGAACTATGAAAAATCTCAAAGAGTCAGTTGATCTAATATATGGAGAGGACCGCTTTCTGTTTCCAAGATAGCTCCTTGTTGTTATGTCTTTGAAAGGAGGTGAATACTGTGTCCTCATGTGGTAGACAGTATGGAAGGGCAACAAAGGAGGTCTGGATAGCTCTCCCAGGCATTTTTTTAATAATGCACTGATTCCACATATGAGACCAGAACTCTCATGGCCTAATCACGTCTTAAAGTTCCCATTACTTACTACTGTTGCACTAGGGATTAAATTTCAACATAAATTTTGAAGGGGACACAACAATTGAAACCATAGCAGCATTGAATATCTATATTAGAAGATGAGAACGGTATCATATTAATAATCTCAGCTTCCATCTTAAGAAAGCAGACAATCAGATTATTCTGAAAATAAGTCAAAGAAAAGAAATAATAAATTTCAGAGTAAAAATCAATAAACTTACAGATCAGACATGATAGCATAGATACAATGCTCAATTCTCCTCTCCACTAAGTAACATTATAAATACTGCAAATAAAGAAAGAGGCAAACAAAGTTGAATCCAAAAAGTACTAGGAATAAAGTAAACTGGGTTGACACTCCATGAACGGAAGAAGAATGTAGCACCACACAATCTTATATCTTCCCACTAAGTAGAAGTAGGGGATCTTGACCGGATCTTTCCCAACCACCAACCTATCAACAGAAAGCAGTTCAAGTAAGCTTATTTCTCTCCTACCCATAAACAGTGCTGTAGCAAGGAGTGCCTGAGAGAGTTCTTCCACATAGTAAGTGCCTGACCCAGGAAGTGTTCTTCATCACCCAAAGGCAGGGAAAGGATCCTACAACAAACAGCCTGGTTCTGGAAATCTCTTTGCCTCTACAAGCCAAATAAACCCCTCCTACAGCAAAGACTAGAATGTAGAAGTACCAGTAGTAGGTGATTCTGCAACAATAAGCACCCATGAGGAAATGTTCTTGGTTCTCTATAGGCAAAGGTGATTCTACCACAACAAACACTAAGCTAGAGAATCCTCTTTATCCCCATAGGCCTGCAACTCCCCTCACCTACTGCACTCCAGCCTGGGTGACAGAGCGAGACTCCATCTCAAAATAAATAAATAAATTAATTATATTTTTTAAAAGAATCCTACCTTAAATGAACTTACATTCTATTATGGAGAAACAGATAATAACCACACAAACAAGTAACGTAGGTAATCTTTTAAATTCTGATAAGTTCTCTGGGGAAAAAATAAAGCAAATAAAAGGGATAAAATTACAAGGTTGGGTCATTACTATTTTAAGTAGAATGGACAAAGCAAGATACCTTGTTGAAAAAAAAAATTTTTGAACGGAAACATGAAGGAGGCAAAAGTGAGAGACATGCAGTTATCTGAGGGAAGAACATTCCAGGTAGAGAAAACTGAAACGCAAGTGCCATTTGCAGTGGCAGTGTGTGTGTTGGGCGGGGAGGTTGGGGAGGGCGTGTTTTGGGTGTATTTGAGGAATATCAAGAATATTGGTTTTATCAGTGCAAACCTATAGAAGAGTGATTTTAAATGAGTTTAAAGAAATGGGCAAGAAATAGAGTTCACATTTTAAAAAGTTTTAAGCCATTGTAAGGCCTTTAAATTTTCCTCCGAGTGAAACAAGATACTACTGGAATATTTTGTACAGAGGTGTAATATGATCTAACTCATGTTTTAAAAGTATCATTTTGACTCATATAGTAAGCATAGAATGTTCTGGGTTATTTTTTAAAGATACAACTATGAATTCAAAGTTATAGTTGTCTTTATCTTCCTGAATATCAAGTATATGGTCAAAATTCACTTCTGAAAAGTAGATTTTGAATCTTAGATTTCAGAACCCTAAATGAATTTAAATGTATCTTGGAATTTGGGGTTGCTGTTTCACACAGGACGAAGAAAGTCAAAAGAGATAATAACATTCATCCTTACAACCAAAGCAAGACAAGTAAGCTAATGAGTCATAGTTTTCCTGAACCCATGTGCAAACTGAGTTTACAGTTTCCTCACTAAACTCTAGAATAGAATGGACTCTCCATAAAAAATAAGAGATTCATGGCTGTTTTCATGCCCAGCAGGACAGCAAGAGAAGAAATAATCTAACGTAGACCCAAAAGTGGAGTTAAATAACTAAACAACCAATATTTCAACAATTTCTTTCTTTCTTCCTTTCTTCTTCTCTTTCTTTTTTCTTTTCTTCTTTTCCTTCATTTTCTTTCCTTTCCCCTCCTTTTCTTTTTTCTTTTTACACAGTATTTCACTCTGTTGCCCAGGCTGGAGTGTAGTGGTGTGCACTCATGACTCACTGTAGCCTCAACCTTCCAGGCTCAAGCCATCCTTCCACCTCAGCCCCCTCCACCTCCCGGCTTCTCCAGTAGCTGGTACTACAGGCATGTGCCATCAGGCCTGGTTAACTAATTTTTTTTTTTTTTTTTTTTTTAAAGAGAGATAGGGTCCCACTATGTTGCCGAGGCTGGTTTCCAACTCGTGGTCTCAAGTGATCCTCCCGCCTCAGCTGCCCAAAGTGCTGGGATTACCATTTCAAAAATTTTTAAGTGTGTTTGTGATTGTGACATACTAGATGTTAGAAGAGCCCTGATCAAGTAGTTCACTTTTACCCATCCACCGTCTTCTATTGACATTCCTTTAGTCCGGCATTCCAGAGATTGAGGTAGGAAAAGTGATGTCTGGGACATAAGAGGTCTCAATTTACTGGCTTACCTGGTACTGAAAATGAGGTGAAAAAACAAGAAAGCTGAGAGAAATCAACATGTTCCCAAGTGCTGTATGTGAACAATAAATCTGAGACATACCTCTAAGGCTTTTCCAGAGACAAGAAAGCTCTCAACCTGTAAAGAATTCCTGGGACATGACTGAGAGCAATGAGAACTCCCAGTGGTCCAGAAGGTTAGCAGATATAGTGTAGAGCATACACAGATATACTATAGTTCATAACACTGGTGGCTTAGCTGTAAATCACAAAATAGCACTGGAATTATACTAGTGATCATAGCACATAGTCCAAGAAGAAAAAATTTTGATCTTGTTCTTAAACTTTGTGGAGCCAGTGGTGAAATGAGTCACACAAAGATGCAACAATGATTGAACCCAGCCCTCTTTAGACTAACATATTCTTGCCCATCACCACCAATATTACAATAAAAATCAAGACACATGAAGGAGCATACCTTTTTCTGAAAGTAAATATTGCTTACCTCAGTCTCTATTGTTATTTGATGCAAAACACCCAGCATGCAATTTGAATCAATAAGACATGGAAAGGAGCAAAAAAATGTAACTCATGCTAAAGAAAAAAAAAAGAGTGAGAAAGAGACAACAAAAGCAGATCCAGAAATGGTTAAACTTGTGGCATTATAAGGGAGGAGCTTTAAAATAACAATTATATAAATATAGAAACATCTAGTGGAAATGGTGATCAGTATTTATCAAGTTATGGGAATTTGCAGCAGAGACGTAAAAATGCTATTATTTTACAATTCCATATTTTAATATAAAAAGAGTATGTTAAAAATAAAATTGGTAAAAACAAAATGTATCAAAAATTAAGATTTATGTAGATAGTCTTAACAGTAGAATAAATTTTGCAGTAGAAAAAATCAATAGACTTAGAAAAATCAATAGAAGTAATCAAATTAAAATATAAAACAAATAGAAAAAAAGATGAGTGAAATAAAAGAATACACAGAGAATCCAATATTAGTGAGAAAATGTTAAGCAGTATAAAATGCCTGTGACCAGAGATAAAAAAAGAAAGAGCTATAGAAAAGATTAACTAAATCACTGAAATTTTTCTAAAAATTAAAAAAATACATCAATCTGAATCCAAGAAGCTCAGGAGCCCTCAAAAAGGATAGGTATGTAAAACAACATATAGAGTTACATCATTTCAAACTGAAAACTAAAGATAAATTCATAACATTATTCATAAGGAAAAGATATCTTACATATGGTAAATGAAAATATTGAGGCACAGTTGACCTCACCAGAAAAATTAATGATGAATGACATTAAGATGATTTTTTGACTATTAAAAAATAAGAAATATCAATTTAGAATTATATATATGTAATGGTGTAATCCTTTAAAATGGAGGCAAAATATAGATATTTCAAAAGAAAATAAATAGCAAGATGACATACCTAAAGCTACTTTTATCAGTAATCACATTAAATACAAATGGTCTAAAGGAATCAATTGAAAGACATAGATTGCCATATTTGATGGAGTCCTATGTTTCTTACAAGGAACATAATTTAAATATAAAGACATAAATTAGCTAAAAGGAAACATGATACTAACACTTGTCTATCTGACAAAGTAGCTTTTTTTCTTTCTTTTTTTTGCTGACTCACATGTCAGGTGATGACAGTAGATTTCTAGCAAAGTGTATTACCAGAAAATAAGAATCTTATTTTATGATGACAAAGGAGTTAGTTTATCAAAAGGACATGTAATTCTGAAATTTAGTGTATCTAATATCAGAGATGCAAAATAGATGAAGCAACAATAGAATTGCAAGGAAAACTGACAAATCCCCAAGTATTGTTAAAATTTTTAATACCCTTCTTTCATTTATTTGTAGAACAAGTAAACAAAATCAATAAGAATCAGGATTTTAACATCATCAATCAACTAGACCCATTGACATTTATGTAACACTTTACTCAGTAACAGCAGAATTCATATTTTCAAGTGCACAAAAAGCATTTATCAAGATAGACAACACTTTGAGTAGTAAAACAAGTCTCAATAAATTGAAAAGTATTCAAGTCATACAAAGCATGTTATCTGACACCCATGTAATTAAACTAGAAATGAATAACTCAACAATATTTATAAAATACACAGATCTTTGGAAACTAACACAATTCTAAATAATCCTTACCAAAGGGTATACCAAAAAGGAATTTACAATGTAAATATGAGATAAAAGAAAACAAAAACACCTATCAATATTTGTGGGACAACACTAAAGCTGCAAATAAGAGAGACTTTTTAAGACTTGTCTTTATCCATTTGTGCTGCAATAACAAAATATCATAAAATGTGTTATTTATAAACAACAGAATTTTTTCACAGTTCTGGAAGCTGAGAATTCCAGAACTATGAAAAATCTCAAAGAGTCAGTTGATCTAATATATGGAGAGGACCGCTTTCTGTTTCCAAGATAGCTCCTTGTTGTTATGTCTTTGAAAGGAGGTGAATACTGTGTCCTCATGTGGTAGACAGTATGGAAGGGCAACAAAGGAGGTCTGGATAGCTCTCCCAGGCATTTTTTTAATAATGCACTGATTCCACATATGAGACCAGAACTCTCATGGCCTAATCACGTCTTAAAGTTCCCATTACTTACTACTGTTGCACTAGGGATTAAATTTCAACATAAATTTTGAAGGGGACACAACAATTGAAACCATAGCAGCATTGAATATCTATATTAGAAGATGAGAACGGTATCATATTAATAATCTCAGCTTCCATCTTAAGAAAGCAGACAATCAGATTATTCTGAAAATAAGTCAAAGAAAAGAAATAATAAATTTCAGAGTAAAAATCAATAAACTTACAGATCAGACATGATAGCATAGATACAATGCTCAATTCTCCTCTCCACTAAGTAACATTATAAATACTGCAAATAAAGAAAGAGGCAAACAAAGTTGAATCCAAAAAGTACTAGGAATAAAGTAAACTGGGTTGACACTCCATGAACGGAAGAAGAATGTAGCACCACACAATCTTATATCTTCCCACTAAGTAGAAGTAGGGGATCTTGACCGGATCTTTCCCAACCACCAACCTATCAACAGAAAGCAGTTCAAGTAAGCTTATTTCTCTCCTACCCATAAACAGTGCTGTAGCAAGGAGTGCCTGAGAGAGTTCTTCCACATAGTAAGTGCCTGACCCAGGAAGTGTTCTTCATCACCCAAAGGCAGGGAAAGGATCCTACAACAAACAGCCTGGTTCTGGAAATCTCTTTGCCTCTACAAGCCAAATAAACCCCTCCTACAGCAAAGACTAGAATGTAGAAGTACCAGTAGTAGGTGATTCTGCAACAATAAGCACCCATGAGGAAATGTTCTTGGTTCTCTATAGGCAAAGGTGATTCTACCACAACAAACACTAAGCTAGAGAATCCTCTTTATCCCCATAGGCCTGCAACTCCCCTCTCCTACTGAAAGACACTCAGTAACCTGGCCTAGAAAAACACTTCTGCTTCTTCAGGCAGCACTGGTAGAGACCAGTGGCAATATTAGTGTCAAGAGGTAAGTCAAAGAGACAAAAAGAATACCATAAAAATATCTAAAAATTAAACTATTTAGAACCACATCCCACCAAGTAGGCTAGGACTTTAATTCTAAACATAAACAGGATGGATGTCTGTTAAAATAAGAGATTTAATTAGGACCCAGAGTCTTTTAACATAATATGCAAATTGTCTGTAATGTAATTGAAAATCATCCATCATACCAAGAACCACGAAAATCACAACTTGAATAAGAAAAAACAGTAGACAAGAGGACAAAGAAGAAACAGATATTGAAATTACGTGACAGGTATTTTAAACTAACCATTATAGAAATGCATCAATTAATCACACACCCACTTAAAACAAATGAAAAAAACTGAAAATGTCAGCAATGTGATGGAAATAGTAGGACTGAAAAATGCAATAAAAGAAATAAGTTTAATAAGAAACAACTCTCTGGATAGTAACAATAAAATGGAGATTGAATAGGATAGAATCAGTGAACTTGAGAACAAATCAATAGAATTCACCCAATCTGAATTATAGAGAAAACAGTAACTAAAAAAGATAAAGAAAAAAAAGAATATAGCCTCAGTGGCCTGTGGGATAATAACAAAATTCCAACATTTATATTACATAGGTTTCATAATAAGAAAGAGAATTGATTTGAAAAAATATTCAAAGAATCACTGAAAATTTCTCAAATTTTTAACAAAAACAAACCTACAGAACCAAGAGTCTGAGCAAAATTCAAACCCGATAAAGATTCATCCCAATGAACAAATTAATCTTAAAAAATTTAAAAACAAAGAAAAAAATTTTGTAGACAGCCAGAGAGAAATAATACTTCATCTGTGGGGGAAAATCAATCCTGGTGATAGCACATTTCTCATTTTAAACCATGAAAGCCAGAAGAAAGTGGCAAAATGTCTTTTAGGAGCTCAAACAAAGATCCTGTCAACTATAAATTCTATATCTGGCAAAACTATCATTTTCGAAAGAACAGGAAAGAAAGACATTTTCAGGCAAAGACAAGTGTTCAATATTTGAAGCAAAACTGATAGAGCTAAAAAGGAAATAGACGAATCCATAATTAGAGTTGGAGACTACATTAGTCACCCTAAGCAACTGACAGAACTACTAGACAGAAAATCATTCACTGCATAGATGTTCCGAAGAACATAATCAATCACCAGGATCTAACTGATATGAATAAAACACTTCACACAACAAAAGAAAAATACACATTTTTAGGTGCCTATGGAATATTCACCAAAATAGGGTATATCCTGAGTCATACAAGTGTCAGCAAAAGTAAAATTACTAATGTTATACAGAGTTTATTCTCTGACCATATGGAATGCAACTAAACATCAGTAACAGAAAAATAACAGAAAAATTTATTTAAATGTGTAAATTAAAAAAGCGATTTCTAAAAACAGATGTGTCTGAGTAATTCTTAAAATATATTAAAAATGCACATAGAACTTAATAAAAATGAACATATAGCAAATTAAAATATATGGGATACAGCTAAAGCAGTGCCAAGAGAGAAATTTATAGCATTAAGTGTTTACATTATAAACACATAAAGTCTTAGACTCTAAAAATCTAAGTTCCTACATCAGGAAATTAGTAAAAGAACAGTAAAATAAACTCAAAGCAACCATAAGGAAGTAGATAATAAGATACAAGCAGAAATCAATGAAATTGAAAATAGAAAAATAGTAGAGAAATTCAATGAAACAAAAAGTTAGTTTTTTTTTTTTTAAATCAATGACATTCTAGCAAGACTGACCAAAAATTTAAGGAAAAAAGACAGAAGATACAATCACCAGTACCAGGAATAAAATGCACTTGGACATTCATCTCAGATAAATTAACCCTTATTTTCACATTAAAAATCTATTCAGAGCAGCTTTCCTCATAATAGCTCCAAACTCAGAACAGTTCAGCTATTCTTCAATGGTGAATGGCTAAACAAAATTTGGTAAATACTGTATATACCATAGAATAGTATTCAGCAATGAAATATTGAAATACAGCAACTTTCATGAATAAAAAAAATTATACTGAGTAAAAAGAGACAATTTCAATGATTCCAGTCATATAACATTTTGAAAATGATAGTTTTAGAAGGGAACTGATTAGTGGTGCTAAGGAGTTAGGAAGGGGGTAAGTTTGGAAAGAGAGAGAGAGAGTATTATAAAAGGACAACAGGAGGAATACTTAATCCTTATGGTGCTGGAACTCTTCAGTATCATGATTGTGGTGCTGCATGCATGAACCTACACATATAATAAGGTTGTATAGATTTGAATATCTACACACACACACACACACACACACGCACACCACAACTCTCTCTCTCTCTCACACACACACACGTGTAAAAGTAAAAAAAAGGAAACCTGGATAAGATAAATGGATGATACGAAAGTCAATATCCCAGATTTGATATTGTACTATAGTTTTGTAAACTTTTATCATTGGGGAAAGATGAGCAGATTATACACAGGACCTCTTTGTATTATTTATTAGAATTTCATGTGCATCTACACAATACAAATGTCAATTAAACCTCAATCATATTGAAAACAGAAAACCAATAGAAAAAAATCAATAAAACCAAAAGCAGTTTTTGTGAAGACCTATAAGTTTAATAAATCTATAGCCACATTTATCCTGAAAAAGAGTAAGAAGTACATCACCAATATCAAGGATAAATGACTTTACTACATATTCTGAAAATATCAAAAGAATATTAAGGTAATAATAGTACACACAGAAAGATGACAGCGGTCAAAGAGGAAATCACTAAAAAACGTTGTTTTTTTTTAATATTGGTGTAGCTGACAGAAGAAATGCCTGACAATAGATACATAGTATCACTTATGTTTTATCCTTGTGTTAACAAAAATAGTTGTCATGTTTGAACTCATAGTTAGAAAGACCAATATGTAAACAAACAATACACACATCTATTAATGATATTGAGGTTTGAAACAAAATTATTTCTTGAGTCATCAGAAAAAAAGTGAAAATGATTCTTAACAGCAATGTGACATGAATCTCAACAATGCATTTTATTTAGCTTTTTCTTTTCATATTCCACAACGTGTAGCAGTTCAGATATGATTGATACCAAATGATATCTCAGAATATTTTAAGTTGCGGGAAAATCAACTTGAATTTGGGAGAAGAAAAAAGATTTGGGGTTCAGCATAAAGTGAATAGATTAGAGGAGGAGACTGAAAGTGGCCTATTAGGATAATTTTGCAAAACAGGATGGGTAATTACGTGTCGAAGTAGAGCTTTAATGGGTGGGCTTAACTCAAATGTATTTTGGAGGTAATTTCTAAAATATTTAGTGATGGACAAGATATGGGGATTTTAACTGGAAGAAAGTAGGAAGGATGATGCCTGCTGCTTCTTGTCTATATAACTGGATGCATGGGCAGTACCATTCATTGAAAAAGAGATGAAGAATGTTTTTAGTTAAATAAAAGTGATATCACATTATTAATACAAACTTTAAAAAAGAAGTACCAGAAACATAACTTTGCTTTACTTTAGTGGATAATTTTTTACCTGATCCCAAATAAAATGAACCTTTATAAAACATCAATAGGCATTGGTATTTGTCAATTATAAAAACTGATATTATTGAAAAAGTAATAAAACATTTTTGACATTGTTGGGCTTGGAAAAATGGCACAAAATAATGGTCCTAAAAGGAAACTTAAAAATGGCTGAGAGCATAATTGATAAATAACTAAATAGAAATATTAGTGCTCAAAATTTTTTAAAATCTGAAAATAAAACCATTGTTCTCAGAAAAACTGAAAAAGCAAAGTAAAATGATCTATATTTCAAGGAAAATAAATTAAGAGTTTAAAAATGTTCAATAGAGTTTACTGCAAAAATATTTCTGAAAGAAAACTCATCAATGTTAATATTATTTGCATTAAAATATTTGGTTTTATAGGCATGTAGTGAAAACACTTATTAGATAGAAAATGTGAGGGTCAAAATGATAGTACTCTTCATTTACCGTCATATTTTGAATGCCTTCTGTGTACTAAGGATTAAACAAATAATGGGGGGTACAAAGTAAATTTCATAGTGTGATGGTTAATTTTGTGTCAGTTTGACTGGGCTAAGTGATGCCCAGATAGCTGGTAAAACCTTATTTCTAGGTGTGTCTGTGAGGTGTTTCAAGATGGATTAGTACTTGAATTGGTAGACTGTACATCAAAAAGATCACACTTACTAGTGCAAATGAGCATTATCTAAAGCCAAAAGAGAACAAAAAATGTGAATGTATTAGTTATAATTCTCTAGAGAAAGAGAACTGTTAACAAAAGCATTATTCATTGATACTTGGTAAAGCATCGTCAGGAAGACTCTATTCAAGATCATTGCAATAGGTGTACAGACCACTGCAATATGATTTTGCACTCAGGAAGAGAGATTGAGCTCAGCTTTAAATACAGCATGGATATGCCGGAATTTATAACCAAAAAGTAGTGTATGGTTAGTGAATGGGAAATTACTAAAATGAGACATCGGGGGTAACGGGAATTCTGGCTAAGCCAACCTAACCAGATTTTTGCTGAAGATAGTTCAGAATAATCAGACATAATGTGGGGGATAGTAGAGGATGAAAAAACTGATTAGATGTAAAAGATGATCAAGTATTAAAGGTTGGGGGTTCTTGCTAAATTAACATAGTAGGATTGTTTGCTAAAACTATATCTTACAAGGAAGAACACAGTTGGGCTTAGGAAGAAGTTCAGGAGCCTCACTAAAGTTTGGCTAAATAGTGTCTTTGTCAGAATGAATAAAATGTATGTGTGATCAGATAAAAATATCCATTAAAGTAAAATAAACTTATGTTTCTTGTTCTTTTTATTTAAAAAAAGTTTCTATTAATGATGCAATACCACTTTTACATAACTAAAAACATATGTTCATGCACACACACACACACACACACAGAAATTTACTGTAGGAATTAGCTTACATGATTATAGAGGTTGAGAAGTCTCACAATCTGTAATCTGCAAGCTGCAGAACCAGGAATCGGGAGTTATCGTGGTTTAATTCAGTCCAGTCTGATGACCTGAGAACTAGATGGCCAATAGTGCAAGTCTTAGTGTGAGTTTGAAGGCCCATGAACCAGGAGAACTGAATTCCAAAGGCAGGAGAGGATGCTTGTCCCAGCTCAAACACAAAGAGCAAATTTTCCCTCCTCTGCCTTTCTGTTCTATTTGGGCCCTTAATAGATTGTATGATGCTCACCTACATTGGTAAGGGCAATCTTCTTTATTCCGCCTACCAAGTCAAAAGCTAACCTCTTTCTAAAACATCCTCACAGACACATCTAGAAATAATGTTTTATCAGCTACCTGGGCATTGCTTATCCCACTTAAGTTGACACATTAACCCTCACTGGTATACACCTTGTCAGTTCGGCACCCATACACATCTTTTTAAATTATACTTAATTTCTAAATAAAAGACAATAACAAGGTGATATTTTTACCTAACAAAAGCTGTCTCTCAAAAGAACAGTAGTTATCTGCAGGTGATACCAGGACCTCGCTCCAAATGCTGAAGACCTGTACTACCATTCACCTATGAGAGCCTGTCACAGGCTTCAAATCCCTATCTGCCACTGCCACCTTAAGCACTATTGGAATGGCTGGTTCAAATGGCACAAGTGGCAGAGAGGCTTGATAGCAACCTGGACTGGTTGGAGAGCTGACTTTTTTTTGGGGCTTCACTCAAAGACAGTAGCTTTTCAGGTCATTTAGTCAATGAGTCGTAATAACTCAAGTTAGGAATATATTGCATTCAAAATCCACATAGACCTATTAGGCTTTGTGATTCTTGGTTGTAAGAGGAACAGATTCCACAACTTATCCTTCACTTCATAAAAACTATCACAATATGCTCCATACCTCTGAACCCCTAGACATTTCGCTGAGGTAGAAGGCTCTTAATTTTAAGTTGGGTTAATTTCCTACCCTCTGACAAGCAAATGCCCTCACAATATGTCTGGAATAGTTGCTACTTCTCAGTCACTAGACCTAATCAGGATAATCTCATCAATGTAACTGACCAGTGTAATATCTTGCAGAAGGAAAAAGCAGCGAAGATCCCTGTGAACTAAATTATGACACAGGGCTGGAGAGTTCATATGCCCCTGAGGTAGGACAGTGAAAGTATGTTGCTGGCCTTGTCAGCTGAAAGCAAACTCTGGTTGGTCTTAAGGACAGAGATGGAGAAAAACATTTTCCAGATCAATAGCTGCATCTCAGATCCCAAGGACTGTGTTAATTTGTTCAAGCAATGAAATCACATGTGGTATAGCAGCTACAATGGAAATCATCACTTAGATAAACTAATGGTAATCCACTGTTATTCTCCAAGGTCTATTTCTTCCACAGAGGCCAAATAGGAGATTTGAATAAGGATGTGATGGGAATCACCACTCTTGCATCTTTCAAGTCCTTGATGGTGGCACTAACCTCTGCAATCCCTTCAGTAATGATATATTGCATTTGATTTATGATTTTGCTAGGTAGAGGCAGTTTTAATGGCTTCCATTTGGTCTGTCTCACCTTAATAGCCCTCCCTCCACAGGTCAGGGAACCTATGTGGGAATTCTTACAGCTGCAAAGTATGTCTATTCCAATTTTTCATTCTGGAACTGGGGAAGTAATCACAAGATGGGTTAACAGATTCACAAGACCCATTCTGAAATGGACCAGAGCTAAAACTCCATGGATCACTTGACCTCCATAAGCCCCTCCTCTGACTGGAAGCCACAGTGATGTTTTGGGTCTCCTGCGATCAATGTCAGTTCAGACTCAGTGTCCAGTAGTGTCCAAAGGTCTGAATATTTTATTTCCTAATGCACAGTTCCTCTGGTAAAAGGCCATAATTCCTTTTGGGGAAGGTTGGAAGAAAAATTCAGGGTACAAATTTTTGATAGTGTACTGGGGACCCATCTCAATGGAACCCAGCCTCCCTTTTATTCAGTGAGTTCCGGTTCCGGTTCTGGAAACTAACTCAAGTCTGAGAATTAATTGAGGGCCTTTGTTTTTATGTCTTTGTTTTTATGGTTTGAGTTAGAATTTTGTTCACATAATCTAGAAGTTTTCTGTTTATACAGATCAAGTGAGAATTCAGTAGCCTTTCTTCCTAATTCTCTTTTAGGAACACCATGATTAATTAGCTAAAGCCATGGGTCTGCACAGACTGTTCTGATTGCTTCTTTGACTCTGCTGTCCATTATGGTAACTACACCCACCTTTTAGTTGGCAGTTGTCATCATGTTGCCCTTGCCATCCCAGGATCCAATTATTCTCATCTCATTTAGGTTTTTCTATTGAGTGGCTGTGGTTCCCACTACAAATTGTGGCCTACAGAGAAAAGGAATCACAGAGCTTTTAAGCTCCCCTCACATATTTATTTCTCAAGGTAGTGGTGAAAGTTATTCTTTCTGTACCTTTTCAATGTGGGAGAGTAGGTGTTAAATGATAAATCCGGCCAGGCACGGTGGCTCACGCCTGTAATCCCAGCACTTTGGGAGGCCTAAGCGGGCGGATCACAAGGTCAGGAGATAGAGACCATCCTGGCTAATACGGTGAAACCCCATCTCCACTAAAAACACAAAAAAATTAGCCGGGCGTGGTGGCGGGCGCCTGTAGTCTCAGCTCCTCGGGAGGCTGAGGCAGCAGAATGGCGTGAACCCTGGCGGCGGAGCTTGCAGTGAGCCGAGATCGCACCACTACACTCCAGACTGGGAGAGAGAGCAAGACTCTGTCTCAAGATAAACCCACTTTAAAATTCCAAATTCCCTAAGCCTTAGGATCCTTTATTTTATGTTAAAGCAGAGGATATTAAGCATTTCCAATTCACTCATGGTAGGCCATATTTTGATCTATGTTTTAGCCAAACACCCAAACTGTTACTGTCCTAATTTCGAGAGCGGTAACATTGAATGCAGAATCTCTGCCTAGTGAGCATATATGAATAAATATAACCTGATCCAAATTTATAATCTTTCCCACCATTATCCTGTGCCCTTAAGATCCAGTTTCATATATGTTCCTTGGATTTCTGCTTGTCTAATTTAGGAAATATAAGTACTTCTTTTGGAGTGTAGCACACCTCATAGGACACACTTTGTACTTCACCATTAGTATCCTACTAGGAATGAAGTGTAGTTGTAGGTATATAAGCAAAGAGGGATAGTTGGGGTAAGTCCTGAGGAGAATTAACATTGTCTTGCATGACAATTGCTTTAGAAGAGGTCAATATCATTTCTCAGGCAATTCAGGGGTATTTCCTCCAAAGGAGATGGAAGGGCAGATACCAATGTTGTGGGGAGGCTGCTACAACTAGTGATGGGGAGGCCACTTCTGCTGAAGATAAGAGTCTGCTTCTACTGGAGGTCGAGATACCTCTCCCACTGGCAAAAAATAAATAAATAAATAAATAACAAACAAAAAACACTCTAATAAAATCTTATCACAATTTAGGAAATCAATGTCACCAGCCTCATCAGGGTCTTCCCATATGTACCTTTCCCAACCATAAGGTTTAGATATCTGTCTGTTCT